>NC_000007.14:148700804-148852319 GCF_000001405.40 Homo sapiens | reverse complement strand
TGGTAAGGCATGGTGTTCAGGGTATTTCTGAGTTTGGTTTGATTCACAAAATAGATTGTGAACACTGTAATTGCCCTTAATTTTAGTTAACCTATGTAAATGTAAATCTGTGAGGTGTCACTACATTCTGCTAAAGCTTTGATGGGCTCCTGCCATATTCTGGTTTGGCTTTTGTATTAAAGAGCCATTGTTGTTTTGGTTTCACTGTATACAGGTAGACTTTTGTTTTAATGAATAGAGGTATAATCTGTTTTGAACAGGAAAAGCTGCTTTTGTATTCTGGATAAAGTTCATACTAGTGGGATTTCACCTATGAAACTAAACAAATCTTTGAAAAATTTAAAAACCATATGTATTTACACAGTGTCCATTCAGTAGAAGTCGTTTAAATAAAGGCTTCTGCCAATATATGAATATTTAGAGCTGTATTTTATTATTTTACTTTTTTTGAGACAGGGTCTCGCTCTGTCACCTAGGCTGGAGTGCAGTGGTGTGAAGACAGTTCACTGCAGTCTCCACCTCACAGGCTCAAGAGATCCTCCCACCTCAGCTTCCTGAGTAGTTGGGACCACAGGTGTGCGCCACTACACCTGGCTTGCTTGCTTGCTTATTTATTGATTTGAGATGGGAGTCTCACTATATTGCCTAGGCTGGTCTTGAACTCCTGGGCTCAATCCTCCAACCTTGGCCTCCCAAAATGCTGGGTTTACAGGCTTGAACCACTGTACGTGGCCTTGAATCTGTGTTTTAATACTATGCTTACTTGGCTGTGGTGTTGTGAAAAGATCACTGAAAATGGAGTCAGAGGCCTGATTTGAGCCAGTCGTTTGTTGTGGGGGAAGGAGGTCAGGGGAGCTAACATCTAAAGGCTCACTATATGCCAGGCACAGAACCAAGTGTGTTTGCATGTATATTTCGTTTTTGTTGCCAGACTTTGAGGTAGGTTTTATGGATAAGGTCTTTAAGGCAATATCAGCTTCCTTTTAAAAAAGAAATTCCGGAAACTGAGTTTTAGGCTGAAGATCTCTAACTGGTAGTAGGGACAACTGAACCACAGGGTCCTAACTGACCCTGCGATTTATCTCCTTTTGCGGGGGGTTTCTTGATAATAGGGTGCACTTTACCTCATTTTTTGGCTCAAGCATGGATAGGCCACCCTTCCTTTTCATACCTATAGCTAAGCTTTACAAATGATATGCTGATAAGATACAAGCTACTCGTTATTCATGTGGGTTAATAGACCTGTTTGTTTGCTTGTTTTTAAGTCTATAGCCGCCCCACCCCCAATCTACAATTTCACCTTCTAAGGTTTTAGTTACTCATTCAAACTGCAGTCTGAAAATGTTACGATATTTTGAGAGAGAGAAGACTCTAGCTACGTAACTTTTGTAACAATATATTGTTATAATTGTTCATTTTACCATTAGTTATTGCTGTCAGTCTCTTACTGTGCCTTATTTATAAATTAAACTTCATGGGTATGTACGTATAGGAAAAAACATGGTATATTTAGAGTTTAGTACTATCTGCAGCTTTAGGCATCCGCTGTGGGGTTGGCGGGGGGCGGTCTTGGGAGATAAGTGGGGACTACTGTACAATTATCAGGCACACACAGGCTCTGGGATTTTACAAATGAGTAAAAGTGGTTCTTGCTGTTGAAGCACTTACAGTGGGAATAGAGTGAAATACATGAAAATGTGATTTTAATATGTTATAAATGCTATGATGGTGGGAGTTTGTTTTGTGTAAAACATCCTTTTAATTGGTACTTTAAATTTTAATATTCTTTCACAGGTCTACCTATTTAGTCTTACACTTTCAAAGAACTACCTGGATGCTGTAGATTTTCATGATATACTTTATTAGGTATGTTATTAATGGTAGAAACAGCATGGAAAGTCTTCCAGAATATTAGACAAGGACAGTTCTAGTACTAAAACATAAAATGCTAACTAATGTCTTCATCAAGACATAAAATATGTATCTTAAAAAATAAATTGTAAGCCAGGCGCAGTGGCTCACACCTGTAATCCCAGCACTTTGGGAGGCTGAGGCGGGTGGATCACAAGGTCAGGAGATTGAGACCATCCTGGCTAACACGGTGAAACCCTGTCTCTACTAAAAATACAAAAAATTAGCCTGGCGTGGTGGCGGGCACCGGTAGTCCCACCTACTTGGGAGGCTGAGGCAGGAGAATGGCGTGAACCCGGGAGGCAGAGCTTGCAGTGAGCGGAGATTGCACCACCGCACTCCAGCTTGGGGGACAGAGTGAGACTCCATCTCAAAAAAAAAGAAATTGTAATAACACCCACATTATACATCAGTGAAAACTAAACACGTTACTACCCTAGGCCTTATTGCACAGGGGTGCTACCTCCAAGGAGAAATTTGTCTAGGCAGCAGATGGACTAGAGGTGATTAGCCTATGAGCGAATGAGGCTACAGATCATTCCTTTTTATCTGATTCCTTTTCTTTCTAGTTCCTAGGCCTTGGAAGCACTAAGTGGTCTTAAGTAATTTGCATAGAATTAGTTGAGTTCATCTGTTAACTAACTAGCAGATAGGAAGAAAACTATTGTCATGAAATTATTTAAAAAATAATAATGCTCCAGTTTCTTCTCATCTTTGATGTCCTTTGGTCCTACCTCACTGCCTTCCTAACACCATTTTCTGCTTTACCTCAAAGCTGGGGTCATCTTGAGTTTAGCCTGCTTAATCCGAGTGACTGTCAGCTTTATTCCACTTTAGCAACTCGCAGGCAAGGCCACACTTGGAAACTTTTCACTTGGAATAGTTCTATCTTGGTGATTTCATCAGCCTTCTTTATGTCAAATACACTCAAATTCCTGCCCATTCTTATCTCTTCGTTCCCTTCAGGTCCTTAGTCCTTTTAATTTGTGACTTTCATTCTCCAGGTCCATTCTTATTAAATGTCTGCCAGCCAGACTTTAGTTGCCCCCTGTCCAGCTTTCTCTTGCTCAGACCTAAGATTTCTTTAGGTTCTTTCTTTGCCTTTTGAAATCCAGCTCAGCTTTTAAGATTGAGTTCCTTGTTACCTTTCCTGCCATCCTTCTGCAGTTCCTAATATTCTTTTCTTTCTCCCAAAGTGCTTTTGTATAAACAGTCAGCCTTCCATATCCGTGAGTTCCAAATCCATGGATCCTGAATTCATGGATTTAACCAGCTGCAGATAAAAAATATTCAGAAAAAAAAAGATGGTTGCATCTGTACTGAACATGTCTGTACTGTTTTGCTTGTCATTATTTTCTAAACAATACAGTATAACAACTATTTACATGGCATTTACATTGTATTAGGGATTATAAGTAATCTAGAGGTGATTTAAAGTATATGGGAGTCTCTTATATCCCAGGAAGCCAGGTAAAAAAAAAAAGTATATGGGAGGCTATGCATAGGTGATATGCAAATATTACACCACTTTATATCACGGACTTTTGAGCATCTGTGGATTTTGGTATCCGAGGGGTGTCCTGGAACCAGTTCCCCAGGGATACTGAAGTATGTCTGTCTATCTCATACTATATTTTTCCCTTTGTCTTAGGTAGACTATCAGCTCCATAGGGGCAAGGATTTAATAATATTTGTATATTCATTTTATTCAAGTTCGTATACACTGCTTGGGTCATAATATTTATTACATGCTTGAGAAAATGAATTTCTTCGCCCCTTTGTTACAGCTCTGAGTAAACAGCCATCTGCCTTCTCTGTCATCTGTTGGTGGTTGAGTATTTCTGTAGAAAGTTACCCATTGGCCTCAGGACTCTTACTCTAAATCTTCTTCTTAGGCAGTTTTCTCTGTGCATGAAGTTTTTATGTAAACAAATAGATGAAGCCTGCCCTACTCATTTATTTGCTCAAGCCAGAAAGTCACCTTCTTCTTCACTTTCCATATTTAAATCATCATTTGGTGGAATTTTGGCCTAAGCAACTCTTGAATTCACGTACTTTTCCCTGTCATCGCCAGTGTGGTGTAGAAGCCTCTGTCACCCCTTGTCGGGATGCTGTGCTGCAGCATCATCTAACCTGGTTGCAGTTATTCTTTCACTCCCTCACCGCACACCCTTTTACTTAAAACACTAAAAGTGGCTTCTCATTGTTCTTAAGATAAAGCACAAATTGTTAGTGTGGCCTGTAAAGCTTTGCATAGCCTGACAGAGAATGTCCTGCTAATAATTTGAAGGTACAGGATGATTTTAATACTTTAGGAGAAAATGTTCTAGGAAAAGACGCTTGTTTAGACTTAAGGTGAGGACTCTGCAGTATGAATTAGACATCTGGTGAACTATAAGCTGTCCCCGCATTTAAACATAATTGGTTCTGAGAGCCTGCAACTAAAGATAAGGCAGAAGAATTTACTTTGCATTTCCTGCATTCCTCTTTTCGCTTGATAGCAGAAACCCCTCATGTTAATAAAGGTGGCACAAGAGGCAAAAATACAGACTTTATCACAGTGTTTAAGGAGAGGTGCATGATTAAGTGTGTGGGGAGAGAGTACCTTTGTACATTTTATTATATGGTGAACTGTATGTTTTCTACTTTTAGTACTGTTTGTAAATTTTACTTCTTCTTGGATTTACCTTTTTCAGTTATATTATTCCATTATGCCTTGCTACTGTAACAGCTAATGATGAAAAACAGGATCTGTCTTTATATTTTCTTCCCTCCACAAATGTGGATCTCATAGAGTTGAAAACTAGGTTGTGATATAGTATAGTATACCTAATTCCTGTAATGGGATCATGTTCCTATAATATGGCCGCAATTTAGTGTAGAATTTTTGTAAATAAAAGTGTATTTTAAGTTTAACTTAAACTTTCAATGAAGTGTTTTAAGGATTTAACCATGCAGCACAAATGAGCACCTTTCTGTAAATGCCAACAGTGTAATATGTGTCATTTCTTCACTGATTGTTAGTTTGCTGCGGATTAAAACACAGGTGATCATATTCAGGCTGGTTAGATTAGTGATTTTAATATGAAACCATTGCTTTTAGAATAATCATGGGCCAGACTGGGAAGAAATCTGAGAAGGGACCAGTTTGTTGGCGGAAGCGTGTAAAATCAGAGTACATGCGACTGAGACAGCTCAAGAGGTTCAGACGAGCTGATGAAGTAAAGGTATAATTTTATCTTTTGTGAAAATGAATATACAATTAAGGATAGGTTTTTTCCCCTCCTAAGTTCAATAAGTTTTTATTTAAAATAATTCTAGCCAAGTTTGTATTTACAATAAGATGAGTGAATACTTGGAAGCTTAGGTTCTTGATCTGTCTTAACATTATACCATGCACATTAATCAGTCTTTGTTTAGTATACTTTTATTTGCATATGCAGCTGCAGAAATGCCTCCCTAAATATAAAGGGATGCATTTCATGATTTTATGTTTCTAAAGTCATTGTGATTAAAAAAAAAAATACACACACACACACACACACACACACACACACACACACACACACAGTCAACAAAGAAAGGATGGCAATCGTTTCCTGTTCTCTAACCACTTGCAATAAAATAACAGATGTGGTGTTTTTGTATTATTTGAATGTGGGAAACTATAGTGTAAAATCTATATGCACCTAAGAAAATGTTCTTGATATTTTTGAGGATACACTAGATTTTTAACCTGCTTTACAGGTGTTATACATTTTCTAACAATGAACAATTTCTCCTTTCCTCTCCTTCATTTTTTTTTTTAAGAGTATGTTTAGTTCCAATCGTCAGAAAATTTTGGAAAGAACGGAAATCTTAAACCAAGAATGGAAACAGCGAAGGATACAGCCTGTGCACATCCTGACTTCTGTGAGCTCATTGCGCGGGACTAGGGAGGTTGGTTAACATAACATGTTGTAGTAATTATCATCATCTTTTGGTTTATGCTATTGGAACATTTGTTTGGTTATTGGGAGGAAATCATTGACCTCAGGGTGTCCATCTTTTTATTGCTATTTCTTTTTAATGTGCAACTGTTAATGACTGCTGTAGATCACACTATTAGCTATTCCTATAACAGAGTTCTAAGTGTTTGGAATATACTTTGAACTAGGTAGATGCCTAGATTTTATAAGAATGTTGATTTAAAAAAAAAAGCTTTTAAATCAAATACTCTTTAATGTCCTCATCAGATCACTATTTAGAGCAAGGTTTTCTGACTCACTGTTGTAACCCCAATTTGAATTAGCCATGTGGTAAGAAATGTTTTAATATTCATGGACAAGAAAGCTTTTTATTATATATTTTGTTCAAAGGCTAAGCCTCTCTATAAGAATTTTTAAATTTCTTGTTGAGAGATTGGAATTTCTTTTTCTATAGTACTTTCTGAACGAGCTAGCTCTTAATTACTCCAAGAGTTTCCTATTTTCAAAGAAAGGCAGTAAATCTATGGTAGAATCTATAATTAAATATCCCGTTAAAACATGATTGCAGCAAGATGAGAAGAAAATGGCAAAAGTCTAAATAGCTTAGGCATTTCTGTTTTTAAGTGCCTGTGTTGTATAGAAAGACATGGCATAGGATATTTAAAGGGGAGTTGAAGCAAAAGGGGAAAGAGCGAGTTGGAATTAAAATTGCACTATGTAGTAGATTGTTTATCTGAATGTCTAAATATGGGAAGCACCTAAACAATGGAATTTGTTTTAAGATAATTTTTCAACGAGTAGCCATTTTTAATATAACATTATTGTAACAAGCAACAATTTGCTATTGTATGAGGCCTTCTGGAGATTGTGTGACATATGAGCTTCAAAGACTTGTCAGTGATATCCCAGTAGCAACAGACATAATCCTAATGCAGATTTTAGTGATATTCTGGTGGTCTTGATGGTGACACTTGGAATGATTCTTAGTCATTTATGCGTTTTGTTAGGTGACACCTCTGTAAAGCTCTGACTTATAATTGTATAAATATTGATTATACAGTGACACTTTCCTCCTCATCTGGTACAGGCCAGAGCCTAGATGTTAGAGGTCAGTGGCATGGGGGAAAGGGATTCTTTTTGATGCCCATCAGAACGTTCTTAAAGGGAATAAGGATGGGGCTTTTAAGTAATTGCTTTGAAAGTTTTTATTTGGTGACCTTTTAGAAATGTTGAATTGAAAGAAAAACCTCATTTTCTCTCTGGAGGAATAAATCTTAGAAATTTGGAGAAATTAGGTAGATTCACATGGAAAACTTATTTTTGCCACCCATTATGAATCTCAGAATGCTATCAAAAGCCTAACTTAGGTTTATAATAAAAGTCAACAGCAATAATGAATTGTGTCACTGTGCTAGGTACTTTGTACACATTACCTCTTTTAATCTTCATGATAAGGAAGGAGTATTACACTTTTTTTTTTTTAATCCAGGCAAGGAAACTGAGCCTTAGAAGCATTTAGTCAGTTTGCCTGCTCTAATGATCTGATGTGGGCCCAGAAGAGCACACTTTGCTCAGACACATGAAGTATTAGTGAAGTACATTATTGACATACAACTTGAATTGCTCATAGTATATTTGGCATTAAATTTAAGAGTATTGTTTGTTCAAGTGGATATTTACTAATTGAAATTTTCTTTTAATTTTGTCAAATGGAGACAAATCGTTGAATATAAAGATACCTAATGTTCGTGAGTTTATGTGAAAAATTGGGAGAAGAAATCAGCATTTTAATAAAACAAAATTGTTTTCTAAAGTTAGTACTTCCACAGTACCACACACACACGCAGATTGAGAATAAACATTTTCACAGAGTATGGGGGAAAAGGAGGAAAATAATCCCCAGCCTTAGGAATCCAGTTTTTGTTGCATAGAACTCTGACCTGATTAAGGTCAGTCATTTTTTTTGTTGCTGGTGTTGGTAGCTGATCCTGCTTCAGATGATCCATCTATTATTTCCCCTTTCCGCCTTTTTAAACCATCACCACTGACTTTTAGAAGCCAGAGTTTATATCGTTTGTGATAAGCTTCTTGGTGTTATCACAATAAATCGTAAAGCTTTAGGGCTAAAAAGGACTGTAGTGGTCTCATGGTCCAACCTCCTGACTTTTCAGATGAGAATATATCCCTGTTTATTTTTTCTTTCGTTTAAGCATTTCCATCTACATATTATTTCTTTTATATATTTGAAAGATTCTAGTCTGAAGTAGGTCAGGTAGGGAGGAGAAAATAAAAGTGATTCTTGTTTGGCAAAGACTTTCCTAGTGGTAGGCTTGGCAGAATTTCAGACTGCAGTATTGATTCAAACACGTAAAGTCTATAGCATTCAACATTTGAAGTGCCATTATAGCATTGTTTTAATTAACTGCTTGCTTTTATAAGCTAATTATATGTAAGTGCTGGTGTCTTCAATTTAAATCCTCTGCAGCATGACAAATCAATGACAATTTTTAGTTCTTTTGTCAGGTCTTAAACTTATACTCCCATTTGGCCGGGCGCGGTGGCTCACGCCTGTAATCCCAGCACTTTGGGAGGCCGAGGCGGGCGGATCACGAGGTCAGGAGATCGAGACCATCCTGGCTAACAAGGTGAAACCCCGTCTCTACTAAAAATACAAAAAATTAGCCGGGCGTGGTAGCGGGCGCCTGTAGTCCCAGCTACTGGGGAGGCTGAGGCAGGAGAATGGCGTGAACCTGGGAGGCGGAGCTTGCAGTGAGCCGAGATCGCGCCACTGCACTCCAGCCTGGGCGACAGAGCGAGACGCTGTCTCAAAAAAAAAAAAAAAAAAAAAAAAAAAAAACTTATACTCCCATTTGTAGTTGTAGAAGTGGATATACTCAGTTTGAAAATGACTGATTTTCTCCAAGTTATTTTGGTAAAGAATGTCGGACAAAAGTTTACTGAAGTGAGTGCTTTAGATGCTGACTTCAGGTCAGGGAGCTCTGCATTTGAACCCAAAGACCACATCTCCAGTATGTGGTTTTCTTACTGTGTGTGGTTTTGTTTTGTTTTTGTGACAGGGTCTTGCTCTGTTGCCTAGGCTGGAGTGCAGTGGTACAATCACAGCAGCCTTGACCTCCCAGGCTCAGGCGATCCTCTCACCTCAGCCTCCTGAGTAGCTAGGACTACAGTCACACGCCACCACATCGGGCTAATTTTTTTTTTTTTTTTTTTTGAGACGGAGTTTCGTTCTTGTTGCCCAGGCTGGAGTGCAATGGTGCAGTCTCGGCTCACTGCAACCTCTGCCTCCCAGGTTCAAGCGATTATCCTGCCTCAGCCTCCTGAGTAGCTGGGATTACAGGCATATGCCACCACGCCCGGCTAGTTTTTGTATTTTTAGTAGAGATGGGGTTTCATCATTTTGGTCAGGCTGGTCTCGAACTCCTGACCTCAGGTGATCCACCCACCTTGGCCTCCCAAAGTGCTGGGATTACAAGTGTGAGCCACCGAGCACATCGGGCTAATTTTTTTGTATTATTTTGTAGAGACAGGGTCATACCATGTTTTCCAGGCTGGTCTCGAACTCCTGGGCTCAAGCAATCCATCTGCCTTGGCCTCCCAAAGTACTGGGATTACAGGTGTGAGTCACCATACCCGTCCCTTAATGTGTTTTTAAGATACTTTAGGGCAACTCTTTTTTTTTTGTTTTTGAGATTATAGAACCTAAGCATTATTGTTCATAGAATTTTAATACAGAATGTGTTTACTTTTAAAAAACACTTCTGACTTTTTGAAGACAGTGACTATATCTGTTTTACGTTTATTTCTTTTATTCTTAAGTTAATCTTTTAAAGAAGCATCCAGCTTCACACTGTCATTAATCAATACATATAGGTCAAGGGATGTACATTTTATTCCCATAATATGTCACTGTTAGTCAAGAAATTGTTACTAGGTGACTTTCATAACTTTGTCTTGTCAACCAGTAATAACTATGTTCTGTAGGTCTTCATATTGGTAGTTATATTCTTCATTGTGTCTCTTTTTCCATTTTTAATGAAGAAACTGGTTTAAGAGTTACTCTTGAGGTTCTCATTAATGTATTTCTTTTTCGTACATCTGCCCATTTCTTGCTGATAATCACAAGACACTTCTCCTTCACTGACTTCATATCAAAATGTTTTCTACTGTATGTGTTATGACTGAAAGAGAAGTTTGCTTAGATAGTGCCTGTCTTCTGGGCAAATGGTATGATTAGTTTAGTAATTTAATCCATCTTGCCAATATACATTTCTAGATTCCCAGGAGAATATAATGTTCTTGTAAGAGTTTTGTATCTTGTTTACTAATGAAAAGAGAGAATATGGTGTATATTCTTGGGGCTTCAGAATGTCTAATAGAAGCAGCATCAGAAGGGGATCACGGTCCTCGTATGAAGAATTTAAAAACTTTTGGACTTTTAAATATTTACAGATTTGCTCTTCATAGTAATATTTGAAATGATTTTAAGTTCATTGCTTAGCATTTGATATTAGCAGATTTTTTTGGGGGGAGAAGCTTCTATCAAAATAATGTGTAAATTATTTTGTATGTTGGCAGTTTGGACTTAACATTTTTGTTGAAGGAGAAGAAAAATACCTGTTACATGTAAACACTCGATTGCATTTTTTATTGATTTAGTAATGAAGTTCCTTCAGTTAATTGTAAATGAAAATTTAGTCACTGTTTACAAAGAAAAAATAATATCCTAGTGTATTTCATGTATAATTTAGTGTACTTTACTCAGATACATTCTTTGAGTGTAGTAACATGGTTTCTTTATACATTGCAGGATTATAGGCCCTATAGGTTTAGATTCTCATGAACCTTTTGAGCAAATATGGCAGAAAGCTGGTCACTTTTCTCATGTCTTTAAATTAAGTGGATGGCTCTTCAAGTGTCTGTCTTACTCTTAGTCTGAACATATACACTCATTCTTATTGCCTCAAGGAAGTGGTCTCTGAGTTGCTTTCTGTAGCTCCTTGCCTCTTTTAACTATTATTGGTATTTACTTGGAGAGTTGAGTCTTGTTAGGTTAACTGTCAGTCATTCCCACCTGTATAACTTGTAAATCCATGCAGCCTTTGCTTTCTTTCTGGCTTTATTTAGGCTGAAATAGATGTAACATTTCTTAAATGATCATATAAGGATTTTTTTTTTCTTGTGAGCAGAAACTAATATAAGCATTTTATGCTTTTCCAAAGGGTTAGCTTAAAAAAAAAAGGTCATTTGTGATATTTGAGTTCATATAGCATCATATATTAAATACATGTCATTTATTATGTTTATATTTTAAATTTGATTATATATCTTCAGTTTAAAAGGTGAATTTTAAAAAGTCAAATTTAGGCAACTAATAAAACTAGCAGAAGTTGCTTTTCATTTGTAGTTTTTCTCCTAGAATATTGTATATATAGTTTGTGTTTTATAAATTATTGTTATAAAGATCATGTATCTTCCCCAAATGCAAAACCGAGTTCTGACAACTATTTAAAAATAAAACAACAAATCCAAACAAACAAAAGTGCTTGGTTAATCTGGAATGTTAGAAATTGTTTTATTCTCTGAAGAAACAAGAAAATTGCATTAGACCGAGGACTTTTGCCATAATTTAGCTTTATAATAGGGATTGACTTAAATTTACTCCTTAGGATTCTGTCTTACCTTCTCTTAGCAGATTTTATAAAAGAATATCACTTGAGTAACATTTTGGAAAGGCTGGGCAGATTTCATAAGCTACCCAACAAGGCAGTTTTATACTAGCTAATGTGACTACCTGTTGGGCTAATGAAACTAGTTTAAAAGTTTTATCTTTTTCTCTCCACTGAACAGATCATTGTAAAATGATTATTGTAAAAATTTAGATAACACAGAAATAGGTAAAACAGAAAGCAAAAGTCCCTGTAGTCCAACTGCTCTGGCTTTTATTCTTTCAGATTTCATTTTCTATATATACTAGGAGGTTAATAATATTTTATTTTTAAAAATTATTGGCCAGATATACATCCTTTCCATTTTGGGCCATCACTTTACAACCTCTGTCCAAATTTTCATTCTTTTAAAAAATATGTAGTGTTTGACATTATGGATATACCATAATTTATTGCCCCATTCTTGATGGACATTTAGATTTTTAATTTTTACTTTTGCAATCAGTGCTGTACTGAACTTTATATACATCCTTGCATCTTTTGAGTAATTCTGTAGAAGTTCCTACAAATAGAATTATTAGATCAAGATGATATGCATGTTTAAAAATTTAGCAGATATTACCAAATGCACCCTCAAAAGTTTTACATTACACCCCCACCAGCTGTTTATGGAATGTCTGTTTACCTATATTCTCAACACAATATTATCAATCTTAATCTTCAGTCCAATAGGTAAAACATTGTTAGAATTGGTTATACCGTGTCTTAATTATTCAGTGAAGTTAAATGTCAGTTACTGTTTGTTTATATTTGTGAATTGGCTGTTACAGTGTTGGATCTTGTGCAATTAGGTTGGGCTTTTCTTATGATTCATAAGGACTTTTTGTATATTACAAATACTAGTTTTGGCTGGGTGCAGTGGCTCACGCCTGTAATCCCAGCACTTTGGGAGGCCAAGGTGGGCAGACCTTTTGAGATCAGGAATTCTAGACCACCCTGACCAACATGGTGAAAGCCCATCTTTACTAAAAATACAAAAAAATTAGCTGGGCATGGTGGTGTGCGCCTGTAGTCCCAGCTACTTGGGAGGCTGAGGCAGGAGAATGCCTTGAACCCAGGAGGCAGAGGTTTCAGTGAGCCGAGATCACAAGACTCAATCTCAAAAAAACAAAAAACAAAAAAAAATAGTTTTTTTTGTCATATGTTTTGCAGATTGCCCCCCCCCCATTTTGATGTTATTTCTGATATATCTTGGTTATACAGTTTTTTCTTTTAATTTTTGTCTTTCTTAAAGGTTCCAAAAGTCTTTCTTCACTTCAAGATTATAAATTATCTACCTATCTTTCCTTTAGTTCTCTGTTTTCATTTTTATATTCTAATATCATTTAACCCATCAGGAATTTCCTTTGGTGTAAAGAATGGGTAGGGGATTTGGTTTTTAATTTTGTTCTTTTTAGTTTCCTGGTTGTTTCAACACTATTTACTGAGTAATTAATGAATAGTGAGGGGCAGTTGTAAACTTGTTTTTGAAGATCAGCAGAATCAGCCTTCTTGGTTGGTGGTTTCCTGGGCAGTTCTACCACTCGAGCAAGACCTGAAGTGTTTCCCTTCAGAAACCACAGCCTGTGCCATCTTGCTCACTCACTTTCCTTCCTTCCTTCCTTCCTTCCTTCCTTCCTTCCTTCCTTCCTTCCTTCCTTATTTGACAGAGTTTTGCTCTATTACCCATGCTGGAGTGCAGTGGCGTCATCTTGTCTCACCTCAACCTCTGCCTCCTGGGTTCAAGCTATTCTTGTGCCTTGGCCTCCAGAGCAGCTGGGACTACAGGCATGCACCACCACACCTGGCTAATTTTTGTATTTTAGTAAAGACAGGGTTTCACCATGTTGGCTAGGCTGGTCTTGAACTCCTGACCTCAAGTGATCCGCCCACCTTGGCCTCCCAAAGTGCTGGGATTACAGGCCTGAGCCACTGCGCCTGGTCTTGCCCACTCACTTGAACCTCTACTACTTTGTAGTATTAAACCCAGATCCACTGATTTAAGCAAGGCTTCAAAACAATTTTACTGCCACAGCCTATATAAACTATAGATTTATATAATACTCTCTGTTCCATTTTAGTTGATTTTTCCCCCAATGACAGAAATTGTTCTTTTTTCTACTCACAGGACTGTTATTGAATTAGAAATTTGAATTTACATGTGGTGGATGAACATCACTCTTGTTACCTGCTTCATGTACTTTTTTGAGTGCTTACTACCTGTGATGATTATTCTGTTTCTGATCTCCAGTACTTAGCAAAACTGGAGTTTTTCCGCAAAGCTGCAGATGAGGGAATGATTTACCTTAACAGCCCTTCAGGATTTTAACCTAGGATTAAGTAGGTTTGCATGTTTGTGATTCCTTTCATTCAGGGCCCGGCTTCTGAAGGTAGGATGCGGGGAAGAGCTTTAAGGATCTAAATTTCCTCCCAGCCTGAGCAACATAGTGAGATCCCATCTCAATAAAAAATAAAAAAATTAGCCAGATGTGGTGACACGTACTTGTAGTCCCAGCTACTCGGGAGGCTGAGGTGAGATAATCATTTGAGCCCAGGAGTTTGAGGCTGCAGTGAGCCATGATTGCACCACTGCACTCTAACCTTGGCAACAAGAGCTAGACCCTGTCTCAAAAAAAAAAAAAAAAAAAAAAGGAGTCTAAACTTCCCGATACTGTATTCCAAATGTCCTATGTTAAATGCTGTGTTATCATTCCCCGCCCCTTGGAATGTAGAAACCGTTAATTACAGGATAAAAGTGAACTGAGAAGCAAATACCCTTGTGTTGTAGGGTAGAGGTTCTTCACCCAATGTGGAATTGGTCTGTAACAAATACTGAACAACACAAACTGAAATAATTTACAATCTGATATGAATTACTCTTTTTCATTTCTTAACTCCAACACTTGATTAGTTGCTTTCATTAAATACATCTGTGTCAATATCTTAATGGGGTTTTTTCTTCCGTTTTTGTTTCTGCCTCTCTCCTGTTGGAGCGACTCATTTCTTTTCAAGTGTCGTCTTCAATCTCCCTTCTCCTATTTTGCCTTCTCAACCTGATTATGAATTCACTTCCATTATTGAGCTTCTCTTTACTTTATCCAAATTTGCTATTTATCTCATTGCAGTTTTTCTTCAGTACTTACTTTGCATAAAAGTAGCCTGAACTTAAATTATATACACGGTCATTTTCACCAGAAGGGCTAGCTAATTTAAAACTTGGGCGTGTTATCTTTTCTTTCCTCAAGTCCTGCAGAATATAGGGTAGTTTCAGAAATCACCCCCAGCTTTTCTCTAGACTTGGTGACAGCTGATGCTTTCTTCTGACTCTTCCTTTCCTGGAGTGCCGACCTTCCTGCACCTTCCTCGCTGTTGTCACATGGAAAGGCTACAGGATGTTAGACAATGTCAACAGTTTACTATGTCTCTGGCATGAAATAAATGGACCAACCAGTATCTGAGAATATTTTTTACTTGGCTAATTGATTGTATGTTTTCCCCTACTATATGGAAGTTGGACTTAGCCTTTCTCATGTTAAAGATTATTCAGAGGCAGGACGGCCATGGCTGTTGTCTTTGGGATGTCCACTGTAAAATGGGGAGTCATACCTACCTCACAGGGTAGTTGTGAAATTTAAAGAAGCTAACTTTGGTAAAGTCTCTAGCACAGTGCTTGGCACATAGTAGGGTGTGTTAATTTCTTTCCCTTCCCTGCAGGCCATTCACCTGCTCTTCCCTCTACGATTTTCCATAACACAGTTTTTACTTGGAACCAGCCTTCTGCCAAGAGTCTCAGTTTGGTTGTGTACTCCTACAACTACTATTTTTGGCTTGACTTCCCTCTCCAGCTCCCAGTGGTCCAGCCACACAGTCGCCTATTGTACCAGCTGGTTGATGTAAGTCTATCCATCCTCAGAGGAACCTGGTTACTTACCAGTAAGCTGTGTTTCTCTGAAAATGTAGCATCCTTGGTAATGATTCTAGTCCCCCCCATCCCCTTTTTTTTTAAACCATTGATGATGAATCATCTCTAACTTCCTTGTGTGATCCTCAAGTTGGAACTGGAATTAGAGAATCTAATTTGTTGATAAAGGTCTCCTAGTAAGTTCCTGAGTCCAGGACACATGGCTCTGACCAGGTGAAATGTGGAGACCCATGAGGTAAAAATTCTTTTCACTACTCTGAGTGACATGAGACTTAATTATGTAAACTGTCAAGGATGATACATTTTCAAAGAAAAATAAGTTGCTGGTAAGTAACTGGGATTTTTGAGTAATTTTTCTGTAAGTCAATAAATAAGAATCCCACGTTTGTTTTCACCAACAAATGCTTTTGCATTTGAATATTTCATAAATGAAAGGAATATGGTTGTTAGTTACGGTTAATAGTAAAGAATGGGATAGGTTTCTAGATACTAGAAATACAGTGAGGTGGGGGTAGACCATCAGTTTTCTAAATAGGTGCTCTCTTAGCTTGAAACAGAAATTGAAGTCTCCATTAGAGAAAATCATCAAGTGTAGTCTGTTCATTCCAGAAACATTTTTTGAGTGCCTACTGTTTTTTTGAGACACTGTGCTGAGTATCGTTTCAAGACAGAGGTGAAGCCACACTTGGCTCAGCTGCTTTTGCCCTCAGAGAGCTTATTTCTTGTCTCTTAGTGACTCTCGCATGACTCAGAACTGAGGCGATGGGATACTGGGGTATGACAGAGGTATGGGACTGGAAGTAGTACGTAGTGCTGCAGCCTGTGCCTTAATATTTTCTGTGCTTCCATAAGTTCTTTCTGTTAATGGGAAAAATCAGCTGACTTCATTCAGAATTTGCAGAGTATTTGCTGTATCACTAGAGCAACCATAGATGAAGCAAAGCCAATGCTCCTTCTTTGTCATAGTTGAAAACTCATTCTCTAACCCTTATGTGCGACTTTGGAGTTAGGTGTTAAAGCAGGTGAATAAGTCAGTCGGAGAGGCAGCCCACTCCCCATTAAGCTTTCAAAGCACTTCTTCCTTCAGAAGCCACAGAATTAATTTATTCCTGCCAAATGTTAAAAAAATCGGAATTTTTTTTTTTTAAGAAATGAAAATTGTTTTGTACTTTAAGTCACTGGATAGTATTTGATACTATCAGTATCAGTAATTATATTCAGTATATTCGGTAATTATAAGCACCTCCACCCCCAAATTTACCCAGTTAAGTAGAAAGAAGGAAAGAAGACTTGGTAGTATTAATAAGTTGTTGTTGGAGGAGATGCTCCTATTACATTATGTCTCTATTTTCTTTTTTTTTTTTTTTTTGAGGCGGGGTCTCCCGTCGTCACCCAGGCTGGAGTGCAGTGGTGCTGATCACAACTTACTGCAGCCTTTGCCTCCCAGGCTCAAGTGATCCTCCCACCTCAGCCCCTCAAGTAGCTGGGACTACAGGCACGTGCTACCTTGCTGGGCTAATTTTTTGTGTGTTTTTAGTAGAGACAGGGTTTCCCCATGTTGCCCAGGCTGGTCTTGAACTTCTGGGCTCAAGCGATCTGCCCGTCTTGGCCTGCCAAAGTGCTGAGATTATACGCTTGAGCCACTGTGCCCAGCCATGTCTCTGTTTTATATAGTAAATACTGCATGGCTGTAATTGTTATTTTACCCCATGAGCATTGCAAGGGCAAGAACTACAGTGCAGTAATTAATTAAGCTCACGGGTGTTGCAGTCAGACTTTAAATCCAGGTTTTAATCCTGGTTTTGTAATTTGCTACCTTTCTGACTAGACAAATTGTATAACTTCTCTGAACCTCAGTGTCCTCATTTGTGAAGTTTTGATGCTAAAACTACACCATAAGGTTGTAATGAGGAATAATTAAGATAATATATACAAGCACTTAGCACAGTGCCTGCAACATAGTACGTGCTCAATAAATGTTAACTGCTGTTTTTATTGGATTATTGGATGGATGGATGAAGGATTGTATCAGAGGCCAAATAGCAGGAAGGGGAAAGATTGTGGGCTCTGGAGTGTTAGTAAACTGTTCACACCTTCTTGTTTACTCGAGTTAAGAGCCTTATTAGTATTATTACCTTTATCTTTGCCTTTTTGGAAAGCAAATTAATAGATGAATCACTGTCACAGTTCTTCCTAACTACTCCATCCTTAAACCTTTACTTCCACTAAGGAAGGAATTATTTTTGTGCTGCAGTGACTGTGATGATTGAGAGATTATCCCACTGGCCTGATGCAACCCAATGCTGAGGGTCAGGTGTGGCCCATATGCCAGATTTCTACTCTGAATTTCACCACAACTAGTTCTGCTATTTTTAAGACATTTTAAATAAAAAATTTAAACATTTAATATGTGTGTGTGTGTGTGTGTGTGTGTGTGTGTATATATATATATATAATGATTTTTCAGTTTCATTTTACTACACTTCTTTTTTGCTCTATTTTCATTGATTGTGGATTATGAATGTATGTCTAGGATATTTTTGAGAAGGCTCTGGAGGACTTACACCTGGGCAGTAGTACTCTTTAAGGAATCTCGGATTCGTAGACAGGGTGGAAAGTGCTGTGGTTATTTAGGCACAGAGTTATACCATATTTCAGAGAATCAAAGATGCAAAATTTTTCACATTTTAACATTGGAAACAACATGCATCTTAGAATCACTGTGATAAGAATGGATTATACCTTTGTTTAGTTGGCAGCATTTTTTCTTAGTGATACAGAAGATAATGATGTACCTTGAAATCGCTGTCATCATAGATTGTATGAAATATGGTGTTTCAAGGGACTATGTGCACTGACACATTTTAGCAATATGGTATCATGGCAATATAAGGAGCGGGAAGAGCAGGGGCTCCAGAGTCAGGCTTTTGGAGTTTACATTCTAGCCCGAGAACCATGCGCAACTTTGGGCAAGCTACTTATCCTTTCTTTTCTATAGTTTTCTCACCTGTAAAATGGGGGCTAAGAGTAGTACCCATCTTACAGTGTTGTAATGAGGATTAAATAGAAGACATGTAATGTGTTTAAAATAGCCTAGCACATAGAAAGTACTTAGTAATCAGCTAATATTATTAATTCAGAGATTACAGTTTTGCAGAATAGACTTAAATTTACTTTGTTGTGATTGAAACACAAACCCATTACCCTTAATATTTATGTATCATCTGATAATATCAGCAATTGACACTTAGATTTTAAAAAAGGAAGATAAGGAAGATTAACTGAACAAGTTTTCTTATTCTTTTTATTTTATTTTATTTTATTTTTTTTTTTTTTGAGACGGAGTTTCGCTCTGTCGCCCAGGCTGGAGTGCAGTGGCGCGATCTCGACTCACTGCAAGCTCCGCCTCCCGGGTTCACGCCATTCTCCTGCCTCAGCCTCCCGTGTAGCTGGGACTACAGGCGCGCGCCACCATGCCTGGCTAATTTTTGTATTTTTAGTAGAGACGGGGTTTCACCGTGTTAGCCAGGATGGTCTCGATCTCCTGACCTCGTGATCCGCCCGTCTCGGCCTCCCAAAGTGCTGGGATTACAGGCGTGAGCCACCGCGCCCGGCCCAAGTTTTCTTATTCTTATTAAGTAAGATTTAAGTGGCTTATTTGGTATACATATTACTATTCTGTGTGGTTGGAATGTAAGAGAAATGAAGGATGAGCTAGGAAATAAATGTATAGGAAAAGCATGGAGGAGTTAATCAGATCGCTGAATCTCATATAAGTACAGTTTTTGATTCTTACTGATATTGGTAAGTATGGGAAGGGTTGGAGGTTTTGAAAATTTGGAAAATTTGAAGCATTTTTGCACCCTAAGTAAAAGAAAAGAGAGAATCCTATTTGGTTTATATGACCACTTTACTGTCCTAGGTAAGGACTTTTTTTTCAAAATTAAATATTTGGGTAGGCAGCATCTCTTTACAATATGATGGCTACAGCTTAAGGTTGTCCTTTTATTCTTAAGAGTCAATTTTATTTTTTCTGTTTTAGTGTTCGGTGACCAGTGACTTGGATTTTCCAACACAAGTCATCCCATTAAAGACTCTGAATGCAGTTGCTTCAGTACCCATAATGTATTCTTGGTCTCCCCTACAGCAGAATTTTATGGTATGTAAATAAGATATCTTCTGCTTATTTGATAATAACTTATTTGAAGTAAAAAAGCATAGATAATTTTATTGTCAAGGTGAATCAAGACAGTATAAATTCTAAAAAGCTATCAAAATAACACTTGAAGTAATTTTTAAAAATTGATTAAGGTAGTTTTTTTAAGGCCTGTGCAGTATTACTCTTTTCCTATACTCTCCAAAGGAAAAGTGTTAAGCAGTAACCATACCTAGGATTAAAAATATTTAAAAGATGGGCTGGGCATTGTGGCTCATGCCTGTAATCCCAGCACTTTGGGAGGCTGAGGCAGATGGATTACTTGAGTCTGGGAATTGGAGATCCACCTGGGCAATATGGCAAAACGCTGTGTCCTCAAAACAAAAGTTAGCTGGGTGTGGCGCATGTCTGTAGTCCCAAGCTACTCAGGAGGCTGAGGTGGAAGGATGGCTTGAGGGAGGCGGAGGTTGTAGTGAGCTGAGATTGTGCCATTGTACTCTAGCTTGGGTGACAGCCAGACCCTGTCTGAAAAAAACAAAAGGAATGAAGCTTATAGTTCTTATCCTTAAAAAAGTCAGTGTCCTGTAATCTAAGTCTGACTTTGAGTTTTTGTTAATTGAGAACTTATTATTTAAAACAACTTTAGGTAGCATTTTATTGTGATAATGTACATTATGGTGTAAAATTCATAGGGCTTGTGAAACATGAGCTGAAACATAGTTCCATTGCTAACTCTGACGCAGCAGCTTTTGTAATAAAATGCTAAAGAGAAACTGAAGCATGTGTTCTTGACTTGTATTGCTAAATAAAAAATATATAGTTGTATTACTTAATTGATATATAAAGTGGGAAGGCTAATAAAATGTTGATAGAAGTCCTTGGTGAACCTGCTTTGGGGAAGTTTTTAGTAACTTTTATACTTTGTACAGTAGAGTCTCAACTTCAGTTACTCTTCTGTAGTTGTATAAATTTGAGTGTAGTTTGAGAATTACATTGCATGACCTTGAGGGAAGTTTCATGTTTTCACAGACTGAAATTCTGGAAGAATATATTATTTAAATTTGTCATTAATTTATGAATCACCCATGGATTTTGCTGGTCTAGCCTGGGTGACAGAGCCAGACCCTGTCTGATTTTGCTGACCAAAGCAGATTAGGCACACAATCTTTATTGTAACTAAGATACGTTTTGGAGAGCAGGATGATGTGGATATGATTGAAAAGACAAAATATCTAAGTGTCACTTGATTTTGGCTTAGATAGAAAGAAATCAACCCCTAGTTTAAATGAGATTAGTGCAAGTGAAATGAGATGAAAACAGGCCTCTAGTGTGTACATAAGCTTGAATTTGAATATATGAATACATTAAAACCTGCATTTTAATTATATGCTCCTTTTATCCCACTTTTTCTTTTCCTTGTCTGTCTACGGTACTTGTTATCTTTATGAACTCTCCAGTTGTCCTAAATTTGTTACCTAGGGATTATTTGAGATTTTTTCCACATTCCCTGGCTGCTACTAGTCCTGTGTGTGGCCTTTCCCAGCGTGTTCTTACCTGTGGGCCATGATCATAGTGCTGGGCCGAGCCTACGCCATCTCACCCTTTAAAGAGCTTCTGTGTCCTCCCAGTCAGGCATAGCCAGTCCATTCTGCTTATTATAATTATCTTTCTAAAATTCTGTTTTCAACCAATACTCTTTTCAAAGGCCTCTTAAGACTTAGACTTGTCTTCACTTGGAATTAGTCTCTTTAAACATGTACTTCAGAACTGTCCAGTCTTTATCTATAACTGCTGTCATTTTTATTCTTCATTGAAAATGCTCTTCCTCCTATGAATGTCAACTTTCTTTACCTTGTATGCTTAACTATTCTATTCTGTCTTAACTTTTGTTTGATTGGCTATTCTTCTTTCTTCTCTGTTGTCTTCCAAAGCTTGATAAAAACTCATCTATCATCTTTACTAGCACTGTCAACTTTGATATTCATCTCATTCATCTAAATATTGAAATATTTTATGTTTTTGTAGAATGTTCTTATTTTACATATAAGTACATATCCTTTTGGCATAAACTTTAATGGACTATCAATACTCTGTATCCCTAGAATTTTATTATATTGGATGTCTTACATTTTTTTTTCATTTTACCTTAAACTATTACAAGTTAATGGCTGTTTTAATAACTGGATCATCAAGTGGAGTTTGGGAGTCTTAGGGTAGTTTTTTGGTATGGGTCTTTATAGTTGATCTTGATACACCATATTTCATCATCCTCTATTAACATCTAAAGTGCGCGTTAAAACTGATGATGGCTGGGCATGGTGGCTCATGGTGTCAGACACCTGTTATCCCAGCACTTTGGGAGCCAAGGCGGGTGGATCACTTGAGCTCAGGAGTTCGAGACCAGCCTGGGCAGCATAGTGAGACACTCGTCTCAATTAAAAAACAAAAACAGAAAAACAGACGATGTCTTCTCATAATCTAGAGCATCTTTTTCTTTCTTAGAGGTATGTACAATAATGGTGGTAAGTTTTAATGATTGATGACAGACTAAGTGCATTATTTTTTCTAGAATTAAATTTTTTTTCTGTCAACAGTTTTCTCAGATATGCTTATTGGTGAGAGGGGTCTTTTATTTTTTGATAAATTTTAGAGTTTGCTCTCTGACTAGTATTTTAAATCTGGAGAACTGGGTAAAGACATGTACACATGAAAAAAAGGTTGTATTTTAGTTATTTCACATTTGATACTTAGAGTAAACCTGCTTTTTAAATATATTTTTTTCTTTTAGGTGGAAGATGAAACTGTTTTACATAACATTCCTTATATGGGAGATGAAGTTTTAGATCAGGATGGTACTTTCATTGAAGAACTAATAAAAAATTATGATGGGAAAGTACACGGGGATAGAGGTGAGCCATATGCTTCTTCTCTTGGAAAAAGGGGCTAAAGAATTGAGAGACACTTTTGTTTATGAAGCATATAGGGCATGAGAAAAATTTTAATATTAAAATTAAGTTTTGCACTGAACTATAAGGGACTGAACCTGGGCCCAGGCCTAAGATTTTCAGTATTTTCCCTAACTATTTTTGGGAAAATTAGTTAGGAGGATCATGTTTGCCACCTGATAATTATGCATAGTTGGTTATAACATAATGGCAATAACATGTAAATTAAATAGAACTTGAGTGTATGTAGATTTTAAGATTCTTTAGTAGTAAAATTAATTAGGATTGGGGCTCTGCTTCTGTGGCATATAGGGGCTCCAACAGCCCCTACTACTAAAAAATACCGCTCCTCTAGGGACTACAGTACCTGAAATTCAATCCTTAGAGTCATGGTTTCAGTTTTTTGTGTCCAGGAGGCCCTGTTAAAGTGTCTGAAAGGATAATATTTGTAATATCATCATCCATTGTCATTATCAGCAGAAAGCAGGGTCTGAAATGATCAGTTAAAGGACAGATCCATTGTTTGGGAGGAGGCCAAAGCCACAATCAGTTCCTAGAAGATTCAGTTTTCTACTAGAAAGTTTTGGGGAGGGGCCATTCTACAGAAAGTAGCAGGTATTAAAGATAAGTTTGCTTCCTTTGCCTAACACCAGTCCTGAAAATGATCTTATCTTTTCCTCCCCTCATTTCAATAATAATGTTTTAGTGCCAGTTACTAGGCTATGCCTGTTTTGTCCAAGTAGAAAAAGGATACATAAACTTTTGACATTATTGCTTCTCCTGTGTGTTTCTGACATTTGATGCGTTTCAGAATGTGGGTTTATAAATGATGAAATTTTTGTGGAGTTGGTGAATGCCCTTGGTCAATATAATGATGATGACGATGATGATGATGGAGACGATCCTGAAGAAAGAGAAGAAAAGCAGAAAGATCTGGAGGATCACCGAGATGGTATGCCTGATTATTAGGATTCTGTGTAGCCATTACAGCTTTCTTTCAAAAACAGTAGAAAGAGTAGAAATAGGGCTTAGTTTCTTCTTTCTCTTTTTCTTTCTTTGTTAAATATCACATTGATAGCAGTATAATCAAAATTAACATATTATGGCCAGGTAGGGTGGCTAACTCTGTAATCCTAGCACTTGGGAGGCTAAGGTGGGCAGATTGCTTGAGCCCAGGAGTTCAAGACCAACCTGGGCAACATAGTGAGACCCCATCTCTACTAAAAAGTAAAAAAATGAGACAGGGTGATTGCTTGAGCCCAGGAGGTGTAGGCTGCATTGAGCTGTGATTGTGCCACTGCACAGTCTGGCTGGGTGACAGAGTGAGACCTTGCCTTAAAAAAGAAAAAAAAAAGCATAATACTTGCAACATTATCTTCACTTGAGTATCTTTGTTTCCTTTGGCTAGCAAAGAACGTAATTTTTTGTGTGCTTCACTGGGCATCATTATAATATATAACATTGATATTCACCGTGTACAAGTTGTGTACTAATCACTTCTTATGCACCAGCTCACTTAATCCTCATAATGGCTTCATGAGATGGATGTTATTATCAGATCCATTTTCTTTTTCGAGACGGAGTCTCGCTCTGTCGCCCAGGCTAGAGTACAGTGGCCCCATCTCAGCTTACTGCAAGCTTCGCCTCCTGGGTTCACGCCATTCTCCTGCCTCAGCCTCCCGAGTAGCTGGGACTATAGGCACCTGCCACCACACCCAGCTAATTTTTTGTATTTTTTAGTAGAGACGGGGTTTCACCGTGTTAGCCAGGATGGTCTCTATCTCCTGACCTCGTGATCCACCTGCCTCGGCCTCCCAAAGTGCTAGGATTACAGGCGTGAGCCACTGCGCCCCACCTGTCAGATCCATTTTCTATTTGAGGGGATAGATTTAGAGAGGTTAAGTAACTTATAAGATTACACTATTGGGAAGAAACAGAGTCAATAGTTGGTGTTCTCTACTTGGCAAAGCTCATGCTAAGGCAGCATAGAATAGAATAATTTGGCGGGTGAAATAGCAATTTCTAAGAAGCGTATTTCAAAAAAGAGAAAATAACAAAAAGGTACCTTATTGACCTTATTGATCATCTAGTTCAGCTCCTTCATTTTACAGATGAGTAAACAGACCCAAGAGGTAAAGTGATCACTCTAAGTCACAAAATCAGTTAGTAGCAGAGCTGGGAGTAGAACCTAGGTTTTCTGCTTCCCAGTGCTCTTAAAGCTTTTCATATTTGAATTTGAATTTTGTTTTTGACTGACTGGCATTCCACAGACATGTAAAGTATGTGAGAAGTAAGTAAAACACAAAATAGAGATGATTTCTTAGAAAATCAGCTTTGTTATAGAGACATAATTGGGTAGAGAAAATGAAAGATCAAAAACTTGTTTACTTCCATTCTTTTTTTCCTTTCATATTCTCCTGTTTAGATAAAGAAAGCCGCCCACCTCGGAAATTTCCTTCTGATAAAATTTTTGAAGCCATTTCCTCAATGTTTCCAGATAAGGGCACAGCAGAAGAACTAAAGGAAAAGTAAGAATTTGTTCCTTTGAGGCAATCTTGCCCTGTATGGTATGTAACTCACCATTTTGGTTTATTACAAATGGAATCAATGTAGCGGATGAGCCACTACACTTTGTTTACAGTGTTTGCAAGATACTTGAAGCAACATGTGTACTTGTGGTACTCTGCATTACAAAATATTTCCTGTAGATAGAATAAATACATATGTATAATTTATATATACACATAAACACACACATATACATAAAATTTACAGTAGTACATTTACAGGAAAATTATCTGGATACTGGTAGAAATTTGATGTTTAGTTAAAACTAATATAATATCCTTTTCCATGATATATTTGAATCATATCGATGAATTTGATTCTTGATAACACCATGCACAATATTTAGTTGGCTCTTTATCTAAATAGAGCCATTCCTTTATGTTTTAGGCAAGATAAACATCAAAAGTAACACATGGAAACCTTTTAGAAACTGTTTTCAAAAAAGTGATTTTTGTTTCATGTTTACTTAAATTTTTCTTGGTTAATGTCAGATATAAAGAACTCACCGAACAGCAGCTCCCAGGCGCACTTCCTCCTGAATGTACCCCCAACATAGATGGACCAAATGCTAAATCTGTTCAGAGAGAGCAAAGCTTACACTCCTTTCATACGCTTTTCTGTAGGCGATGTTTTAAATATGACTGCTTCCTACATCGTAAGTGCAATTATTGTACGTTTTCATTTTCTATCTTTGTTGTGGAATTATGTTTTAAAGCAGCTTGGAGAGTGCTATCATTTATTACAACTAGAATTTATCATTTAATCTTGTAGTTACTTTGACAAATATCTTTAGATCTCAGTATTATTATTTTTACTTTGTTGCTTGAGGATTGCTCTGAAATCTTTTGCATGTATTTCATTTGGACTACTATTTTCCACTAACATGGAATTCAGGTCAGTGATTTTTTTTTTTTTCCCCCGTAAGTGCTAACTAAGCAGTTGTTTTACAATAAAACTATTATTATGAACTGGTAGCCCAGAGCAACATTGCTGATATTGATGAATAAATTGTGTTAAATAAGAAATTGGCCAAAAAAATGTTCAGGTAAGTGCTTGTCGATTTAATGTAATTTTATTTTATTTTATTTTATTTTTTTGCCCTCTGGGTAAGTTGTTTTTTAAAAATACCTGCATTTGAATACAAGTAAAACGTAAAATGTTCTTAGTGAAAATGTAAGTATGGTATATACAAAAATACTTTTTTCCTCTGGCATTTCTAGGGAATGTGGTTTCTTAGTAAATTTTCCTGGTAATTGAAACTTCTAAGCACAGTTTAAAAGCGTCAACTACTTTTGAGGCACATATTTTGAAAATGTATTTAATACTTCCTAATTTTCCTAGAGTAGTTTGCTTATTATAGTTTGGTTTTTCCTATATTGTATTTTAGTACGTCTGTCTATGGCATGGTAATTTCTTTAGGGGCTTTGACCCATTGTAAAATCGTTTTCCCCTGTACTCAACGGCCCCACATTGCTTTGTTGTTTTGAGTTCCTGTGCCTACCATTGACAGATTTATTCCTCCTCGTTCACCAATGATAACGTCTTTTTAAGCTTGCCCAAGCAGCTGTACCTCACCTCCTCCTAAGTGTTTGCTCTACTTGTTTTTGCTGCAGCTAATAATGTGTTGAGTGATGTAATACATTGGTCTGGAAATGTTAAGTTTTGTTTTTGTGTGTGACATATTAGTGGTTTAGTTATCTTAAAATAGAAAAACTTGAAGTAGATTTTTAGAATTATCATTATATTGTTACCTCCTTGCTCTTGTTCTAACTCCTCATCTAGTTTAAATTGATTTGGTAGTTTTAAAAATTCGTAGTAAGTCATCCATTTGTTGCTTCAGCCATTGGACAGTTAAGCCCTTGAAATAGTTGTCTTGAATTTCATTTTAATTTCCCTTTACACACCATGAATTTATGAATTACATCGAGTTTTTATTAAGACTATTGGACATTGTATGTAGATATCACTATAGCAAAAGAATTGAGTGGAAGCACTATTTTGGAGTCGCTGAAAGGTCCTTCCAATTTGTTGTTTATAGATGTAGCATTTAATAAAGTTTTTTTGCTGTAAAAATGAACCATAGAAGTAGGACACTACTTTTAAACATTACAAGTTTTTTATTGTGCCATTCAGAGATGAGTAATTTTTTTTTTTGTTAACTTGAATCTTGAACCTGTTACTTACCTCATTCTAGCTGGGGAGAACAGTGGAATATTTTACTTTAATAAAGTTGGCTTTCATGGGGCTAATTGGCTGCCTCCTTGTAGCATTTGGTGGCCATGGGTCCAACTGTGCTAGGCCCACTTTTACTTCTTTTTACAGTAGAGCCAGTGTCTTCATCATTCAGTCCTATTGAGTTCTGTAGGAACTTCATTGTTTTACGTTAACTTCGACAAAATACCACACATGGTATATTTTTCTTAGGTAAAATAAGTTACTAAATAAATCATTAAATATATATAATCATGCATTACTTATGGACGGAGATGCATTCTGAGAAATGTGTTGTTAGGTGATTTTGGCATTATGTAAACACAGAGTGTACTTACACAAACCTAGATGGTACAGCGCATGACACACCTAGGCCACATATCCCTGCAGCATGCCACTGTACTGGATACTGGAGGCAGTTGTGACACATTGGCAAGTATTTGTATGTTTAAATCATAATAAACATAGAAAATATACAGTAAAAATACAATATTATCTTATGGTACCACTGTTGTATATGCGGTCCATCATTGACTCAGATGGTATGCAGCACATGACTGTTTCTTTTTTGTTGTTGTTGTTGTTTTTTTTTTTTTTTGAGACGAAGTCTCGTTCTGTTGCTCAGTCTGAAGTGCAGTGGTGTGATTTCAGCTCGCTGCAACCTCCGCCTGCTGGATTCAAAGGATTCTCCTGTCTCAGCCTCCTGAGTAGCTGGGATTACAGGCGCCCGCCACCACGTCCAGCTAATTTTTGTATTTTTAGTAGAGATGGGGTTTCACCATGTTGGCCAGGCTGGTCTTGAACTCCTGACCTCAAGTGATCCACCTGCCCTGGCCTCCCAAAGTGTTGGGACTACAGGTGTGAGCTACCACGCCTGGTCGATTTTATGTTGAATATAGCATTTTGTGCTTTAGTTTTCTGGTCTCTTATCTTGGGGATACGGTAGTACTTCCTTTACAGAGCTGTTGTGAGGATTAGATGAATTAATGTGGGGAAGATACTTAAAATGGTACCTGGCTCTTGTTAGCTATTGTTGTTTTTAAAATAGGTCATCATTCACATGGTTTACGTTTCCAAAAAGTATTAATATGAAGATGTGCTGGGCGCGGTGGCTCATCCTTTTAATGCCAGTGCTTTGGGAGGCAGAGGTGGGAGGACTGCTTGAGCCCAAAAGTTTGAGGCTGCAGTGAGCTATGATCATGCCACTGTACTCCAGCTGGGTGACAGAGTGAGACCCCATCTCTTAAAAAAAAAAAAAAAGTATGAAAATGTGTACAATAAAGTCTCCCAATGACTTTCTGTTCCCCATCCTTCGAAATTTTACCTCACTCTTCCACTTTTATTAGTAGTTAACCACTTTTATTGGTTCTCGTATTTTTTTTACAGTTTCTTTGACAAGTATAAAGATACCCTTTTTTCTGACCGTCTTATTTACATGGTGGCATAGCATTCAGGCTTTTCCCTTTTTTTGGAATAAGGATAGGATTTAATATTGTAGCTATTAGCTTTATCTGTATAGCTGCATAGCCTGTGCTGTAGGAGGTTCCAGAACTTACTGGACTGGTCTCTAATGGTGACCATTTGGATTATTTTGAGCCTTATGCTGTAACGATGCCACAGCAAATATCTGTACCCATTTCATGCAAGTTTAAGTTTACCTGATAAACTCTATTTAGGTATTGCCAAATGACCTGCCATATGGGGATGCAGCACTTTAAAGCCCTACCAGCAAAGTCAGAGAGCCCTGCCCATAGAAGGTGTTACCAAACTAATTTTTAAAATTGATTTTATAAGTGAAAAATGGCTTTTAGCATTATTTTTAAATTCTTGTTTTTCTTTGTTTTTTAATCTCTGCTTCCCACAGGTGATAAGCATTGTTTTAATATCTGGATTTAATTCCTTTGAATGAGGGTAGGATCTTCCTATATGTTGAAGAGTGAACTATTTTTATTCTTTGTTTTTTTGATTTTGTGAGACGGGTCTCGCTCTGTCGCCCAGGCTGGAGTGCAGTGGTGCAGTCTTGGCTCACGGCGACCTCTGCCTCCTGGATTCAAGTGATTCTCCTGCCTCAGCCTTCTGAGTAGCTGGGATTACAGGCGCGCACCACCTCACCTGGCTCATATTTTTATTTTTAGTAGAAACAGGGTTTCACCATGTTGGCCAGGCTGGTCTCAAACTCCTGACCTTAGGTAATCCACCCACCTCAGCCTCTCACAGTGCTAGGATTACTGGTGTGAGCCACTGCGCCTGGCCTATTTTTATTCTTGGTCTCATAGATCTTTTTGATGTCTTAGGAGCTTTTTATATAATCAGGAAATTAGGTTTTTTGAAATATGAGTTGCAATTTTTTTCAAGTTTATTTGGTAAAAGTCCCATAAGCAAAGTTTAAACTTTTTTTTTTTTTTGAGACAGTCTTGCTCTGTCGCTCAGGCTGGAGTGCAATGGTGTGATCTTGGCTCATTGCAGCCTTTGCCTCCTGGGTTCAAGGGATTCTTGTGCCTCAGCCTCTGGAGTAGCTGGGACTACAGGCATGTGCTACCACATCCAGCTAATTTTTCTATTTTTAGTAGAGATGTGGTTTTGCCATGTTGGCCAGGCCGGTCTCAAACTCCTGACCTCAAGTGATCTGCCCGCCTCAGCCTCTGAAAGTGCTGAGATTACAGGTGTGAGCCACTGCACCTGGTCAGTTTAAACATTTTTTAAAAAGTAGTTGAATTTATCAGTTAGCTTTCCCATTCCAAGATTATAAAGCGTTTCTCACTTTTTCTAGTATGTTTTAGGCTTCATTTTTAAAAACATAAATCTTTGATCCATTTGGAATTTAATATGATGTGGATTATAAATCTGATCCTCCTCCTCACTTCCAAAGTTGCCTAGTTGTTTCATTTACTGAAAAGTTCATCTTTCACTACCTTGAGATATTTCCTTCATTGCCTGTTGCCATATGTATTTGGGTTTCTCAACATTGTGTTCCTTTAGTCTATTCATGAGGCGGTATTCAGAGATCTCCTGGCAATTCTTGTTTTTCTATATAAATTTATTTATTTAGAGAGAGAGATATATATACATACACACATACATACATACACAGGGTCTTGCTCTGTCACCCAGGCCAGAGTGGTGCAGTGGCACAATCATGGCTCACTGCAACCTTGACTTCCTGAGCTCAAGCTCTTCTCCTATCTCAGCTTCCTGCGTAGCTGGGACTACAAGCATGCACCACCATTGCTGGTTAGTTTTCTTTTTCTTTTTTTGAGATAGGGTCTCACTATGTTGCCCAGGCTGGTCTTAAACTCCTGGCCTCAAGTGATGCTCCTACTTTGGGCTCCCAAAGTGCTGGAATTACAGGCGTGAGCCACTGCACCCAGCCTATATACATTTCAAAATCTGTTTGTCTAGTTCTTTTTAAAAAAAATTAGTGGTATGTTTATTGGAATCCCATTAAATTTATAAATTACCTAATTTCTTTTTAAAATATAAGGGTTAAGTCTAACTAACCATACCATCACCTCTCTTTTTGTGTCCTTTAATTATCTCCCAAGTTTTCTTTATGTGACTCTTGTACATTTTTTGTTGAGTATTTCTAGGTATTAAACTTGCTGCTGCTGTTGGGCTTTTTCCACATTTTGTCTTCTGTTTTGTACCCTGCTACCTTACTGCATTGTCTTCATGTTTTATCAGTTTCTCAGTACATTCTTAGGAGTTTTCCAGCTGTGTAATTATACTGTCTGTAGTTATTAATGGTTTTACCTTCTATCCAGTCTTTATAACTGAAGCTTCTTTCTCTTTTCTACCTACTTTATTTATTTATTTTTTGGTTGGGCGGGGGAGGGGAGTGGGGAGGCTTTCTGATAAAAACCAGAAAGCCTGCTAGACAAATTCTAAAAGAGCTGTAACTGTCTTTTCTACCTACTTTAGCTTGTAGTTTCAGTACAGTTTAAAAATTAGTAGTGCTGGTAGATAGAGATAAATGTTCTGTCTCTTCTGGATGAGTTTTAGAAAATTATTCTTTACATCCAGGTTTTGAGATTTATTTGTATGAAGTTTATGTGTTCTCTAATGTTCGTTTTATTTTTGTTAATATTCTTGTTCTCTATATATTTCATTGTCACTTTTTTGTTAAGAAGTGGTTTTTGTATTTTAAATTATGTATTTTTTTCTTCAGAGAACCAGCTACAATGTTAGTTTAACTCATAAACAGAAAAACAGTTGTATTAGGGTTCCTTAACAAACGTAATCCAGCACCAGATTAGTATTGGTGTTAGGCTGTCTGGAGCCTAATTGCTCACACGCTTCCAACAGAATCTGAGCCTTGAATTTTTCTTCTTTAAAAACACAACTTTGTCCTTTTTTTTTTTTTTCCTTCCTTTTCTCAGTCTTTAAATATGGCTTTTTACAAATATTTAAAAGATGATTTGTTTTGTGGAAATGTCACTTGTTTTTCTCCAAATTAATTTTCATCTTGTATAATTCTGAATAGTCCATTTCCAGCATTTCCCTTTTGTATATGAGGAAGTAAGTTTTTGCAAGAAATTCTGTGAAGTTAGCACTGCTGTCAATGTTCACACTCTTTTCATGTAGCAGTGTACCCGCATTTGAATCTTTCTGTTACATTATTTTGGAATTTTAGGTTTCAAACAGTGTATCTTTCTAAAATCCGTTTTTTTGACATTGTAATTTTCTGTGGCAAGACACTATAAGCTCTCACCAGGTTCTTGGATTGGGTATGATTCACAGGAATTGAATGTTAGTAATCTGGGGCTGTCCTCTTTATCATTAAAAATGAGTTTTTACAACTGGTGACAAGCTGATTGCTGACCTTTCTTTAGAAATCAAGAAATTGTATGTCAGAATTAAAAATAGGAAATCTGATTTAATTGTAGAGGGTCTATCAACTGCTTAGACAGAGATAGTAAGATTCAATTTAAGTAAATGTTTATAACCATAGTTATGCGCATCAGTTTTACTTGCAAGGAGAAAAATGAGAAATCACGACTCATTCCAGAATTTACTGTTTTTCCTTCCTGCTTAATGGTTGGAGGAGGAGGAATGGAGAATACGTTGTGATCATTCAGTAAGAGCCTGAAGGAAAGTTGTATGAAGTAACGTAAACCACATATTAGCAAGATTATAATCCATTAATTGACTTTTCCAGTGGAACTGGAAGAGTGAAAAAGTAAGTATTTTATAGTTATATTAGATTCTTTGTTTCATTTATTTTGCAGCTTTTCATGCAACACCCAACACTTATAAGCGGAAGAACACAGAAACAGCTCTAGACAACAAACCTTGTGGACCACAGTGTTACCAGCATTTGGTAAGACTTAGTGCCTAATTATTGCAGAGGGTACTTGAGAGGACTTTGCACTTTGGTGGAGGTGATCAAGTCAGCGTTAATGTTGTCTGCACCCATGCTGTTATGGGCCATATGATAGACAGAGCTTTCTCACCCATGCTGTTTCTTCCATAGCTCATGTACTGCACATTTTAGTCCTTCATTAATGTGGTATTATTCTTTTTAAAATCTGTGTTATCTCTTCAGCAACATTTCAAGGTCTTTAGGATCAAGGACTTTTATGCCTTCCACAAAGTCTATGAGAGTTGCAAGGCACAGATAGTCCGCTTAGAAAGCAGGCATGCAGTAATCATACGCAGTAGATCCCAAGCCCCTCTCATAGCCATATCCCTCTACTTGAGTTTTAGATGCACTGTCATTTCAGCTATGTGATAGGTTCCACAGATTTTTTTTTTTTAAATGATGGAGAACAGGTAAGGGGTTAGGAAAATATGAGGTAGAAAAGTTGTTTTTACGGGTACTCTCTTATTTTTACCATTTCCCCTCTTTGAACCAAGCCACTCCTACCTAGGAACTAAATGGGTATATATTGCCTGTTGGATTTTGGACAGAAGATTCATTGAATGGCACCTGCAGAAGGTATCCTATTTTTAAGCAATTTGGTTTTTGTAGAATGAAGTATAAAACTGTTGGCTGCTGTCAAACTTCTCCCTTCTATTTCCACTAAAAAAATGGAATTCTTGAGCACTTGTTTTATAATATTCTTTACAAGGCAGAATTTTGTTTGGCTCATCTAAAATGTTTCTGTGGTCTCTATAAACCATGCTCTTACCATTGTTTTATACTTTGAGACTGGATTATTGTACTTCATAATGCAAGATGTAACCCTCACAGTCTTATTCCTGAAGTTCCTTTCATGTCTTCCTGTGGCTGTGTATCCTTCACAGGAAAAAAAAAAATGTTGGATGTTTTAATAGTAAGACAGGAAGTGACAAAGTCAAGCATGTTTGTGTTTTGTGTTCTTGTATAGTTGAAATATTAACACGAAGAGGTATGCATTATCTTAAACTCTGCATAGGTAGTCTGACTCCGTGCACATTAGGTATATGATTCTTTTGTAAAGATTCACTTTTAAATAGACTGTATGTCCATAGAGATAATTACCTTTATTACATGAAGTATATTTCATACTTTATCTTCTTATATTTTAACTTAATTATAACTAGCTAATATATTTTACAAATTCACAATATAGAACTGTCTTGCCTGATTTTTGTACCATTCTAGGAATATATAGAACCCATATTTCTCTTTCTGAAATTTTCAGACTATCAAAAGCATATCAAAACAAGTATATTAGACATGCAAATGATTATTTGTGATAAATGGATAATGTGATACATTTTTTGACTAACCTGGCTTATATAGTATTTTTTTTTCTCTTCCATCAAAATGAGTTTTAGAACTTTGCCCTGATGTTGACATTTTTCATTTCGTAGGAGGGAGCAAAGGAGTTTGCTGCTGCTCTCACCGCTGAGCGGATAAAGACCCCACCAAAACGTCCAGGAGGCCGCAGAAGAGGACGGCTTCCCAATAACAGTAGCAGGCCCAGCACCCCCACCATTAATGTGCTGGAATCAAAGGATACAGACAGTGATAGGGAAGCAGGGACTGAAACGGGGGGAGAGAACAATGATAAAGAAGAAGAAGAGAAGAAAGATGAAACTTCGAGCTCCTCTGGTAAGACACGTCTAATAACTGGGTTTTACTGTTCTGTGAAAGTTCGTGTTGTGAGGATTAAGGATGTATAATGCATTGAATAATTTTCTTAGTTGGTTAGTTTCAGTATAAAGACCAGAGTTATCTCAAGAATGTGTAGCTGTGTTGTTTCTGTTTCCTGCCTGCACCCGTACCCTAGCTTGTGGTGTTTGCCCTGCTTGGTTGTTTGAAAGCTGATGATGCACTTTATTCTCATTCTTTGTGCCATTTTCTTTTTTCGATCTTTCTCAGGTAGGGAATAATGAAATTTGGATCATTTGGTTTAATATTCTTGACGTTCTGTGAGTAGTTTTGTTGGAAAATGTGAACTACGATGGGTTAGTGTTTTGCCGATTGGATTTGAGTTGTCCTCATCTTTTCGCTTTTTTCTTAAGCACACCCTGAATTGTACTTCTTAATATTATTTCCAATCATTTCTTGACCAGTGCTTACATTTGGTTTTGTAGAAGCAAATTCTCGGTGTCAAACACCAATAAAGATGAAGCCAAATATTGAACCTCCTGAGAATGTGGAGTGGAGTGGTGCTGAAGCCTCAATGTTTAGAGTCCTCATTGGCACTTACTATGACAATTTCTGTGCCATTGCTAGGTTAATTGGGACCAAAACATGTAGACAGGTAAGATATCCGATAAAAATGTTGTTAAAAGAGCTTCAAACATAGAGATAAAACTGTACTCGTTGTCCAAACAAAGAAAATTCTTGGTTATTACTAAGCTCCTATTCATCTCCTAAAAATAATTTTTTTTTCTTCCCAAGAGGGAATTGAATGAAAATTATTCTCCAGGTATGTTACAGAATTTCCCCAATGTAGACTTTTAAGGTTAGATAGCAGTAGCTTTTAAAAGCTAGTAAGAATTGAAATTTAGCATCACAGTTCTTGACCAGAATATAATTACAGCTACCCCTAATGTGAGGGTAGGGACAGCGATGTGTGTTATATCCCCAGCATCTAGCAGTGTCACAGAAGAGACAAAGACATTTTTCTGGTATGCATGAGTATAAGAATGGTTTGCCTAAATAAGACTGTCCTCATGGCTCTGTGACTGTGCCTCTTGTCAGGTGTATGAGTTTAGAGTCAAAGAATCTAGCATCATAGCTCCAGCTCCCGCTGAGGATGTGGATACTCCTCCAAGGAAAAAGAAGAGGAAACACCGGTGAGTCTGTCATGAAGCTCCTTAGAGAAGTCAACATAGATAGACACTGCAGGCAAGGCCCTTCCTAAGGGCTGTTGTTGGTTTCTACTTAGTCTATTTTTAAAAAACCTTAAACTGCCATCAAAAACAGAACTATGGAATCTTATTTCCACTGGGAATTGCTAGTATTTTTCTATAAGAATACAGCAGCCTTCAGTATATTTGGTATGTTAAGAGTCATAAAAATTACGGTTACCAGACTGCATTTGGGTTAAGAAAAACATATTTAGTAGCTTTTGCAGTAAAGGTTACGTAAACAATTACTTTAACATCATGAAATGTTCTGTGTTTCTGATGTGAGCTCTGGGCCAGTTTTTAGAAGTATCTTTTATTCCAGGAGCTTGAATTTCTAAGTTGTGTGGCATTGCATTCCGATACTCCTAATGGGTACCCTACTTTAAGCTTGTGTGAATGTTATTTTCACCTTAGCGAATGTTTTCAGGCTGATTTGATTTGTAAATGTAGAACCAGAAAAATTGATGAGTGGACTATCTGCTCTAATCTCCCCATACCTCTACCTCACATTTTTAAAAATGAGAAACCTAATTGGGTAGGTAAGGGTGCAGTTAGATTATGCTTCTTAAATTGTGTACAGGCTCATGTTACATTTTCTTACTTTAACAAAAATAAGTGTAGGGCCAACCCAATTTAGAATTTTTTTAAAGTCAAGTTTTTATTTTTATTTTTTAGGCTTTAGGAGATGCTTCTGAAATTTTGGTTGAATTATTTCTGACCACGTAGTTCACTTGCTTGGTTTATGATGCCTGAAATAAGAGGAAGTGATCAGTGTCATCCACATCAGAATAAATCAACAGGCAGACACACCTGCTGCTTTGTGCAGCATTGGGAGCTCAGGAGTTCTGACCAGGAGTCATGGATGAACACAGGAAATGACGTCTTGCCACACCTGGGGCAGCCTGAGCCATCAAGCTGTTTGAGTTGCTTCAAACTGATGGCAAATATAAACTGGGCAGGGCATGACTCTTGGCTTTAACGCATTCCTGTATTCATGGCACAGATAGATCCAGTTAAGCAGCTCTCTGTTGGATTTGTAGCTTCCCGCAGAAATTTGGTTTAATTTTCTTTGTGTTTTTGCAGGTTGTGGGCTGCACACTGCAGAAAGATACAGCTGAAAAAGGGTTAGCATCTTTCCATTCCTCTCATTATTAGCTTAACAATATCTGCTTTGTTTTCATTTGTTTTAGAATAGTAACTGGATTAGAGCTTGGGTTATTCTAATATAATTGCCTTCTGTATGTTAAACCAATTTGAATGGAGGACGTCTACTGATGAATCCCCAGTCAATTCTCTTCTGTAAAGTGGAGGCTGACTGGAAGGTGTGAGTCCGAGTCAGTTGAAGGAGAAGTGCTTTGGGATGGGACTGAGATGTAGCCGTGCTTTAGATGGAACTCATAAGCACTTGGGGGTGGGAGAGTATTTTTTGCCATCGTTGTGGAAACCGGAATATGTGTAATGTTATGCATTCAGTAAAGGCAGGCCAGCTACACTCCACAGGTAGTAGGGAAGAATGTACTCGTGTTAATTGTGTATGATCGTTTCCATCTCCCTGGATTCATTGGCCTGCATGATGTTATCTTTACTCAGACGGCTCCTCTAACCATGTTTACAACTATCAACCCTGTGATCATCCACGGCAGCCTTGTGACAGTTCGTGCCCTTGTGTGATAGCACAAAATTTTTGTGAAAAGTTTTGTCAATGTAGTTCAGAGTGTAAGTATTTGTTGCTTTGATGCAATTGCATGAGAACTAAATAGGTCTTTGGTTAGCAATTTAAAAAATCAAAAATAAGAACATGGGAGCACTCCCTTGTTTACTTGACGAAACTCATCAATTTGACAAGTATTTATTGAGCCCCATACCTGGCCCTGTGCCAGTGGCCAGTCAGTCGCCTGGGTGTTGTGTGTCTGTGTGTGTGAGGCAGGCAAAGTTGTATTAAAGGAACCTGAATTTTATTTTTTTCTTCTTTGATCATTTAAATTAAGTTGTATTAAAGTTGGCACAGATTGTAAGAGGAATCTAGAAGGAGCTACCCAAATAATTTTTGGGCACCAGAAATCGTCAGAGTTAGGAGGGTTTTAGTCTTCAGATTAAAGGAATGTAGCATAAACATAGTAGATTTTTATAATTGTTTAATGAGACTGCACATGAAGCTTGGGTATTAAGGGAGTGTTTAGAACTAGGGGCTATTGGAATGGTCAAGGACCATGGATATTGTTCCATCCAGACCCTTTATTCACACCGACTTTAAATATATACACTATTTAACAAATGAAAAATGGAAAAACAACTCAGTGGTGGTCTTTTTCAGTGCAAACAGCTATAACTTCGCTGTTAATACTTCCATTTCCTTGTCTATATAGTAGGGTAATAAGGTGGTTGTGAGGGTTGAGAGTCAGTGAGATGCCCAGTACAGCCCTTGCCACGTATCTTTCTGCAAGTTTTTGCATACGGTGATGAGTGAAGAACCTCCAAACCTCTCTCTGAAGGTCAAAACCGCTTTCCGGGATGCCGCTGCAAAGCACAGTGCAACACCAAGCAGTGCCCGTGCTACCTGGCTGTCCGAGAGTGTGACCCTGACCTCTGTCTTACTTGTGGAGCCGCTGACCATTGGGACAGTAAAAATGTGTCCTGCAAGAACTGCAGTATTCAGCGGGGCTCCAAAAAGGTGAGCAACAAGTCACTTCTGGAAGATTGTTTGTAGTTAGCTATTTAGTGATGCAAATGTCAGGATTGCCTTAGATGATTTAGCTGGGGCAAAAAGTAAAAGTGATCCTTGAAAGGTGCAACTGATGAGAAAGTGTTCATAATTTTCTCTGGGTAATGCACCCTTGGGCAGTCTCTTCAGTTTTATATAGAGCACCATACTCTGATAGTAGGAGAAACCAGCAAATTCTGAGAAGTAGCCATTCATGGTATCAGATTTAGGAATAAGAGGTATTTTTTCTACCTGTTTAATAGATTATTTGAATTTGTCTTTTAGTTAATAGTTTATCTAGTATCCTTAATGCAAATAAATGGTGATTTCTATCAAAATATAGACTCATTCTCATCAAAGAGTATTTATAGATTCCTTGCTATGTAGAGTAAAAGATGAAATTTCCCATGGCAGGTTTTTATAGACTTACTTCCTGTTTGTTTAATAACCTTGAAAAAAACCCAGCTAGGAACTATATATTTTTAGTCTGGGGAATTGTATGTAGGTGAGTTAACTCTATCAGCCAGGAAGTAATGATTGAGCAAAAGACACTTCAGCAGCATGTATTTGGGAAATTTCGTATCTTTTTTTTTTTTTTAGGGCAGATGATAAGTTCTTTCTTCAGTCAGTTCTTTTTATAATAATAGCTGACATTTATTAAGCATGTAAAAATAGGCACTGTTGTGAGTGCTTTAGTGGATTTGTTCATTGATTCTCCTAACCCTGTGAGTGAGGAGTAAGTGTTAACCCCCATTTTACGGGTAAGGAAACCCAAAGTCACAAGACTTGTAAAGGAGCAGGAGATCAAATCCTCCAGGCTCCCATTAACCTGCTCTTATGCTCTGTGTGTGTGTGTGTGTGTGTGTGTGTGTGTGTATGTGGGGTGTAGAGTAGACATATCTTTGTTGTTGGACCATTTATTTATAATTGAGAACACACTTCTTACCAGCAAGTCCCCTTCTACCAGAAATTCTGCTCCAGGCAAAACATTGAAGTTCTCTTGGTTTTGTTTGTGTCTTTGAACCAAAGTCTGTGTTTATGGCAGAGAGTTGTGCAGGGTGGTGGGCTTTTTGTTTTTAGCTTTGACTTTTTTCTTTTCTGTTAGACATTTAGATGATTTTACTCTAGGCAGTTATATGTCCATTTAGGTCATTGGATCACAGTGACTCTGGTTCCGTTTCCGATGGCATACCTGCTCAGACCTAAAAATCTCAATTTCCCCCCCAAACAACTTACCATTGTACTCCTTCCTCACTTTGTTCAGAAAGTGGGCAATTCTATTCATACTGACATGTCCTCTTTGTAAGACATTTTTTAACTCTTAAAAATGTTAAACTATGTAGATACCTTTTACCAGTTGGGTTTCATTTGCATAGCAGTATTTAGCTAATTTAGTTTCTGATCAGAAGGCTATTTGGGAAGTTCACATGACAGGTGAGTGGTAAGATGGTCCAGAATAGGAATAGATAGGAAGCCTTTGTAAAGGTCACAAGAAAATTTTGGATGAAAGCATAATACTGAGCCGTGATGAAAAATTGGCATATGTTGGGGAACACATCCCTAAATACATAATTTATAGCAATGATCATCTTGGCATTTCTGCTGAAAATAGACTACTGGACTGACAAGATCATGATAACACCTCCCGGTAGTTTCTTGTGTTATCCTGAGGAGGTGGGGTGGAAGAACAAATCCAAAGCCAAGCTGCTATGGGCTTCAGAGGGAACCAACGCCAGTGAAGAATCAGGGGGTGTCCTGGGGCTGAAAATGGAATAACTATTAATAGAATCACTTGGGGAAAGTAGAGGGAAAGGTATGGAGAGGAAGAGTGATTTGGTGGTGTCCTTATATTAAATTCAGGTTGAAAGTGAATTACTCGAGGAAATCAAGGGCTGAAGATACAGGGAAGCCAAAAGTGCAGCAGGCCTAGAGCACCTTGCTGAACGATGGTCATTGCAGAGGACCAACACCACCAAAAGGTTTTCTGTAAGACAGAGATTCTTATCTGCTGTATAAGGAAAACATAATGTTCATAGCCATTCTCAGCAGCTTTCACGTTGACTGAAGCTGTGTGCCCAATTACTGCCTTAGAACAAACAGGTCTGAGGATTTACAGTGATAGCTTTTGTTTTCATTCTGTAGTCTACTTTGTCCCCAGTCCATTTTCACCCTCCTTTTTTGATGATGTGATTGTGTTTTATTCTCTAGCATCTATTGCTGGCACCATCTGACGTGGCAGGCTGGGGGATTTTTATCAAAGATCCTGTGCAGAAAAATGAATTCATCTCAGAATACTGTGGAGAGGTAAGGCACTGATAACCTGTATTCAGGTGGCATTGTATATACTAACTTTACTTTATTTTAGATTGATTTTATTAGGTAAGTCTGTGGGTTTGATTGGAAATGAATTGCCATAAACTGCCTTTTCAGCCTGGACTTCTGCATGTTTGTGGATTTGCATGCTTAGTAACTGGATTGTGCTGGGCGCGGTGGCCGACTCCTGCAATCCCAGCACTTTGGGAGGCCGAGGCAGGTGGATTGCTTGAGCTCAGGAGTTGGAGACCAGCATGGGCAACATGGCAAGACCCCATTGCTACAAAAAATGCAAAAATTAGCCGGGCGTGGTGGTGCATACTTGTAGTCCCAGCTACTTGGGAGCTGAGGCAGGAAGATCGCTTGAGCCTGGAAGAGCCTGGGAGGTTGAGGCTGCAGTGAGCCATGTTTGTGCCACTGCACTCCGGCCTGGGCGACAAAGTGAGACCCTGTCTCAGAGGGGAAAAAAAGCAAAACAAAACAGGATTGCTTGGTTCTAGCCACATTTAGTTTTTCTCGTCTAGGGACAACAGGGAGAACAAGAGCTTTACCATAGAGTGGCCTGCTTAATCCACAACCTAGTTGATAAGGACCTAGAAACAACAACGTCATTAGTTATTCACCTTTTAAATTGTCGACAGTGTTACCGAAAAATCATAGGCCTAGCTTCAGTTTGGAACCAGCTCACCCAAATTTTTTTTTTTTTTTTTTTTTTTTTTGAGACAGAGTTTCGCTCTTGTTGCCCAGGCCGGAGTGCAATGGCGTGATTTTGGCTCACCGCAACCTCAGCCTCCCGGGTTCAAGCGATTCTCCTGCCTCAGTGTCCCGAGTAGCTGGGATTACAGGCATGCGCCACCGCGCCCAGGTGATCTGCCCGCCTCGGCCTCCCAAAGTGCTGGGATTACAGGCGTGAGCCACTGCAGCCGGCTTTTTTAAAAAACTCAGCAAAAAGACTTTGGTTCCTCACTTTCTCCAAGGATAATTACTTCAGGATGTGGAAATATTTCTGAGTTGGGGTCCTTAGTATACAGTTATTCTTTATTACTGCGCAGACCGAATGGGAAAGAGAACTTGGCTGTAGTGACCCTTTTTGTTGCGTTTTCTCCAGAAGGTCCAGTATTCACTCTGTGCGCTTTTGTGTGTTCTGTCAGGCTTGATCACCTTTATCCAAAAGAATTTTCTCCTGTGTCTTTCTTTTTAGATTATTTCTCAAGATGAAGCTGACAGAAGAGGGAAAGTGTATGATAAATACATGTGCAGCTTTCTGTTCAACTTGAACAATGGTATGTTTCAGAGCTGGGAGGCAGTGAGTTCCTGAGTTGCATGTGGCAGCCTTCTGCCGGCCGAGTGTTCAGAAACGAGGGTAGAGGTCAGTGAGGTGACCAGAAGGAGGATCTCCTTAGAGGCATGGGGGGCTGCTTGCTTGAAAGGAACTGGAGCAAGGAATTCCTCAGGGAGCAGATAGACTAGATGTGCAGGAAACCGCCTCTCTGGAGTCCCGGCTGTCTGTGGGTGGCACTATCCCAGCATCTGGCTGTGAAGGGGACGTTGTGCTCTTGCTGCTCACCTCACCTCTTGTGTTCAGGCAGCTCAGCACACCTCCTCCAGTCAGTGCCTCTGAGCGGGGAAGGAGGGGAGGAGCACTGCATTTGCAACCATCTTCCAGACTCCCCTGGATATTCTCAAAGGACTGAGAGGAAAGGCAGCTGCTTTCATAGCTGATGTTCTGGGGTAGAATGTAAGGCTGTGTAGGGATGTTTCTGGTGGGATTATGTGAAAATGGAGGTAGGCTTAACATGTAAGATATTCAGAGAAACTCTTAGTTGGAACAAGTAGAATAGGTTTTTTTCTATGAATGCTTTATAGACATTATAATGAAAAAAACTAATTTTAAATGTGAAAATGCCTATTCGTGATGTTTGGAAGAATTTTGTCAGATTTTTTTTTTTTTTTGCTATGTTTTGCTCAGTAATGTATGTTTATAGTTGATAATTAATAGCTTTTGAGTCAGATAACCATCTTGAATTATAGGTGATTAATTTTAACCTGGAACAATAGTGTGTTCTTCCAAATGTCATTTCTTACTGAATGAAGCTGCTTGATTTATTTGCTTTTGCAGGCAAACCCTGAAGAACTGTAACCAGTTGCATTTACAAAATCATAATAACTTGGTTTACTTATAACTGAAATTATTCACTGGGCTGTGCTTACTTTTTTCTTTTTAGATTTTGTGGTGGATGCAACCCGCAAGGGTAACAAAATTCGTTTTGCAAATCATTCGGTAAATCCAAACTGCTATGCAAAAGGTAGGTACCTTTGACGTGAGAATTGGAACTCCCTTTTCAGTCCTGTGATGATGGACTTGAATACTTCTGGGATAGTTGTTTGTTATGTGAACAAGTCAGTTAACCCCCCGTGGCCCGTCTTCATGCTCACTGACACCAGTGTGTCTCTTTGCAGTTATGATGGTTAACGGTGATCACAGGATAGGTATTTTTGCCAAGAGAGCCATCCAGACTGGCGAAGAGCTGTTTTTTGATTACAGGTTGGTAAAGTACATTTCTAGCATGATCTCTAAGGGCTTTTTCTACTGGATTGTGAACTCTGGACAAAGGAGGGTTTTTAGTTCTTTGCTTCTTTTGATGGGTCACTTTGCCATGAGCATTAGTGGGGAATTAGGTTACACTTTCCTGTTATGTATTTATTATCCATTTATATATTATACAAGGCATGCTTATTTTTAAAATAGAGTAAAATCCATGCAGAAAGCCCCATTTCTCACCCTGCTGTTGACAGCTGGGTGAGTCCTAGACCTTCTCATATCATGCCGCATGCTGCATGCTCACTCGTGGAGCGTTTTCCAGATAAGTGCGATCACACTGTCCTATAGATTTTTCTGCAACATGGTTTTACTTGACAATATACTATGCATATCTTTATGGATTAGATCTACTTAATTTATTGTTTGCTATAATACTTATTACACATATCATTACCATTTTAAAAGGGGCTGTTGGCAAATCGCTGTCTGATCACCCTGTGGGGATGCCTGGGACACGTGGGCCACCAATGGTATCTGTGTGGTTAGGCATTAGGCTGCCAGTTGACACTGTCAAGCTCTGTGGGATACATTTAAGTCAGCCATTGAATACAGATTTAAGTGCAGTCAGATGACTGTCTAGTTAATGAACTCCTGTAGCCCCGTGTACATCCCATCCAGAAGCTGTCTTTGAGTACTGTGTTCTTGCATATTCAGGCTGGCCTTTAATGGCTGTTGCACAGCAGCGAGCTCTCAGTGAGGCAGACAGGGTCTGAGTGAAGGGCCCACTTTAGCAAAGGCCGCTGCCTTCACTCCAGGCTGGCTCTGAATGAAGAGTGTGGGGTGGAGCTTCCTTGGGATGACCCGGTGGCCTCACCCCCCATGGTGGGCTTCTTGTGCTCCTCTCTGGGTGTCCGCTGCACTCCAGTTCTTGCTTCACCTGGGGGAGCAACTGGCGGGCTGCTCTTTGGCCCTCTTTGCTATGGTCATCATTTTTTCCAGACCATGGTTCTATTTTGCCTTCCCAGCGTCAGGCCTAAGCATCCTGATGTGGACCAGCCTTCCTGGGACCACTTGCTTCAGAGGCATAGGGGAGGCTGGTCAGGCTCTGGGAATGCTTGTAGACAGGTTTGTTCACTTCAGAACTTGGCAGCGTCTCAATTAGATGGCCAGCAACACAGACCTATGCATTGCCTTCTATGAATGTGCCGTTATGCAGGCAGCTGTGTAATTGGATGGGTTTTTTTTTTTTTTTTTTTTTTAAAGACATTTTAATGCACCCACTATCTTCAGCAGGCTTTGTTGTGTTAAGTCTCAGCACATGTTGGATGGGTGGCCATCCAGCGGACATCTCCTTCCTGTTGTTTCAGATACAGCCAGGCTGATGCCCTGAAGTATGTCGGCATCGAAAGAGAAATGGAAATCCCTTGACATCTGCTACCTCCTCCCCCCTCCTCTGAAACAGCTGCCTTAGCTTCAGGAACCTCGAGTACTGTGGGCAATTTAGAAAAAGAACATGCAGTTTGAAATTCTGAATTTGCAAAGTACTGTAAGAATAATTTATAGTAATGAGTTTAAAAATCAACTTTTTATTGCCTTCTCACCAGCTGCAAAGTGTTTTGTACCAGTGAATTTTTGCAATAATGCAGTATGGTACATTTTTCAACTTTGAATAAAGAATACTTGAACTTGTCCTTGTTGAATCATCTCTCATAACGTGTCAATAACTGCTTTCAGGACTGCTCAACAAAAAACTTTTAAATTTAACTCCTTGGGTTTTTTAGTTGTCTTTGTATGAATCTTGATTTAACTAATACTGCCTGTGAATATGTGGAAGACATATATGAAGAACACTGCTGTGCATCCTGAGGGCTTACCCAGTAAAGGGCTTGATCTTATAGACAAGACCAGGGTGGGTACGTTCCAGTCAGCTGTGCAACCTGGAGAAAGAGATTTAACCTCCAAGTCTGTTCCCCATATATAAACTGACAGAGTAGACTTTTAGGTTATTTTTAAGAACGTACCTAGTTCTAAACTCCATTAGTCTAGATAGAGTTCTTTAGAAACAAACACAATATAAGTTGGGATTCCTTACCTACCTTATCACAAAAGGTGATTGATAGGTATAACCAAACTGTAGTTTTATATCTTCTCAGAGGTAAAAATCACAAACTCTGAAAGCGTCAAGGAAACGACATGTACCTTGCATGCCTTATGATAATGTGGTTTGTCCCAGAATTTGAGGTAACTTCCCTGCACCCTCCCCAGGTACATTCACCAGCAGCATCATGGGAACCCTGACAACCGCTGCAAACCAGTCCATACTGTCAGTTACTTAGCAGTTGCCTTTGCTACAGTTAGATTTTTATTTACAATGTGGTAGTATTAATATGAAACCTAATTAAATGGACTCATCTTGCTTTCCAGTTCCACAGCATTTGCGGGATCAGGTCTCTCTCTGACACATCAGTGCACAGGCGCAGCAACTTGAGTCCTACAGTTAATTTGCCACTTGATTTGGGATTGAGGAGATCCCTCCCTCAGCCTCGTCCCATGGTTTCTTAATGACAGTGCTGATCTATTTTACATCTAAATAACTATCTCCACTCTCACCCAGAAAACGGTACCATTCACTTCAGAGCTTGTTGCCCTCGATGCCCTCATGTTCCGCTCGGCACTCAGCAGGACCCTGGGCAAACTGGGCAGCCATCAATCTCCTGAGGCAGTTACTTCATTATTTGGGTTAGGTCATTCTCTAGATGGCTCACTGGCCTTGCCTAGGCACAGGCGCATGGAGCCCATCTGTTCATCATCGCCTGTTCATGAGACCCCAAAGATTACTTGGGCTCAAAAGTACCTGTTGACATGGCTCATTCCAGCTACAGCCCTCAACCCATCCTCAGAGGAACAGCTGGGAAGCAGATCCTTGAGGCCTCCAGTGAGCTCAATGTACCAGAGCCCCAAATGCGTAGGAAAGACAAGGTGGCATTGATGGAAAGCAGTAGTTTTTGAGCCCTGTCGTGTATTCTCATTGCACAGCAAGCTTTTTATACCATGATCTGAAATGCGCTTCTCTAAAAGCCTCTTCAGTGACGTCCGTGAACACAGATTTTCTGAACAGAAATCCTTGACGTTAATAACCCATTTGATACAACCTTCTATCAAGCTTGTCTGGCCTGTGGACAGCCGGTTGCATACAGCCCAACACAAATTCGTAAACTTTCTTAAAACATTGAGGTTTTTTGTGATTTTTTTTTTTTTTTTAAAGACAGACAGGGTCTTGCTCTGTCACTAATCAGCCTGGAGTACAGTGGTGTGATCTTGGCTCACTGCAACCTCTGCCTCCCAGGTTCAAGCGATTCTCCTGCCTCAGCCTTCCGAGTAGCTGGGATTATAGGCATGGGCTACCACCCCTAATTTTTGTGTTTTTAGTAGAGATGGGGTTTTGCCTTGTTGGCCAGGCTGGTCTTGAACTCCTGACCTCAAGTGATCCACCCGCCTCGGCCTCCCAAAGTGCTGGGATTACAGGTGTGAGCTGCTCCGCCCAGCGTTTTTTTTTTTTTTTTTTAAGCTCATCAGCTACTTAATAGAAGGCTTGACATATACAATAAGCGGGACCTCACCCACAGACTAACTACTGTGGGTAAAGTTAGAGGCACCTAGAAGCTGTGCTAGGTTTTCATTATTGTCTGGTTCATCCCATCTCCAGTCTTCACCGTATCCATGCCAGGTCCTCACTTCCACTTCTGCCCAAGATGTTCAGCAACTCCACCAAAAGTCAAATCAAATGTAAACCCACACATTTAAGCTTGTAGATAGCTCATCAAGACTGGATCCGAAATGTAAACATTTTGAAAACAGTATTCTGTTAAATAATTCTTAATGGAACTAGTTGAAATAATTGCGTATCCACTCAATCCCTTGATATAAATAAACAATTCCAGTGGGGGCTACACATGGATACCTGGCATTAGAAGTGGTCTACACTCACCTGTTACGGCAAGGGCATTGTTGGGGTTGCCCCTGGACAGGGTCATGAACTGGACAGATGAACGATGATGGTATAAAAAATGAACCTGGGCAGCCAAGTGACTGTGATTCCTACGAACAAGAAGGTGTCTTCATTAGAAGGGGGATTCAGTTCAAATAGCTGAAGGCCAGCAAGCATGTTTTCCAACTGGGGGTGGTCATGCTAAACTTCACAGGAAAATTAGGTACCAATATTCATCAAGGAGCAGCATCTTAAAATGCTGTCAGTAAAAATACATACATGACATTACAGGCACCTGTTGGTCCTGTAGCCACTTTCTTACCCTTCAGATTCCTGTCATGTGGCGTGCCTGGCCAGCATCCCGAGTCTATACCCTACGCTTAACAGAGCCCAACCAGGAGACTTACCCTCCCAGGCGCCGAGATCAAGGTCCTCCCTTCCCTTGTTCCCTTAGGTCACAGCAATACATACTCAGCCTGTGCATCTGGTCTTAGTGCACAGCCCAGCTCTGATTAAACCACAATGAATTTTTCTACAACCCAGGAGGTAAAATATTGATTTTATAAAATATGAGTTCAAGTTGTCAATAGATTAAACCTTTGTTGCTGTGATACTGTTTCCAACCTCTTTGGCCATGATTCCAAGATAGTAAGCCTGGTCTCAGTGGTAACCACCACACCGTGTAGACCCCCACTAGGATTTGGCAGCAAATAGTCCCAGATGTTTGGTGTTCTACAGACAGGCTCCCCTATACTTCAACAAAGGGTAAAAGCAAGAGTGACAATGTGAGTACTCTGGGGCTGGATTAGTTCAGTGATACTGCGCTTGGTGGTTCTTTGTAAACTATTTTTGTTTTTTTTTTTTTTGACACGGAGTCTTGCTCTGTCGCCCAGGCTGGAGTGCAGTGGCACGATCTCAGCTCACTGCAACCTCTGCCTCCCAGGTTCAAGCGATCCGCCTGCCTCAGCCTCCCAAGTGGCTGGAACTACAGGCGTGTGCTACCACAACTGGCTAATTTTTTGTATTTTTAGTAGAGATGGGGTTTCACCATGTTGGCCAGGCTGGTCTTGAACTCCTGACCTCAAGTGATCCGCCGCCCAGCCTCCCAAAGTGCTGGGATTACAGGCGTGAGCCAATGTGCCTGGCCACAATTTTCACAATTACAGCTAGTAATTGTGCACATACAAGTATTTTGTCCAAGGAGAATAGGGCTTGAGAACTGGGAAGAATGTGACCTTCCTCCTGGGTTCTAACCATGCTGCCCACATATAGGGACTGAACACCCGGGGTTTCCAGAATTCTGGGACTCTGCCTCTAAGCGACTTACTAAGTTGTCCTGAAAAAGAAATGCCTCAGGGAATGTCTCCCTTTCCATGTCTTACCAAGAGAAATGCAGTCAACCTATACACATAAGGGACATTTGGACCTAAACATAGGTCTTGAATTGCCTTTTCTTTCACACCAGTCAAGACGGTACACTTACCCAGTGCGAAGGGGAGCAGGTAAAGGCCAGGAATCTGAAGGTGTGGGGCGAACTCCCGACTCACCCATCACTCAGCTCACCTTCGCTTACCGTGAGGAATTTCCATGGGACCAAGGTACTTACCCAAGTGCCTGCTTGATCCCGGAGGAACTGAAGAGACCAGCAAACTCATGACAATATTTCCTATCATTCGCAGGACTGAAATACACAAGCTCTTAAGGCAGGTCTGTGGTGTTCCTTTGCAGCATGCTTTTCTCACAGGCAGAATAATGGACTGGTTTGAGGAAAAGCAGGAGGTGAGCTTTACTCCCAGTCCGGCGCCACAGGGCAGGGTGGAGTTCGGAACACCAGCTGTCTCCTGCCTGGCTTCTATACTGGGACTCTTCACTAGATGGTCTGAAAAAGGGGATATACTAAAAAAAAGTGTTGAGAACCATTAAGTGCTGGGTTTATTACCATTTTACTTTTTAACCTGTGTAACTTTTTTGTGACAGGGTTGCTTTGTTGCCCAGGCTGGAGTGCAGTGGTCTTGGCTCTCTGCAGCCTCAACCTCCTGGCCTCAAGCGATCCTCCTGCCTCAGCCTCATGAGCGATTAGGACCGCAAATGTGCGCCACCAAGCCCGGCTAATTTTTGCAGAGACGGAGGCTCCCTATGTTGCACAAGGCTGAGCTCTCTCCAAGTGCTGGGCTTACAGCCGTGAGCTATCTTGTGCCTAGCCCCCCGGTTTGTTTGTTTTTGAGACAGAGTCTCGCCCTGTCACCCAGGCTGGAGTGCAATGGCGTGATCTCAGCTCACTGCAACCTCTGCCTCCGGGGTTCAAGTGATTCTCCTGCCTCAGCCTCCCAAGTAGCTAGGATTACAGGTACGCACCACCATGCCCGGTTAATTTTTTGTATTTTTAGTAGAGACGGGGTTTCACCATGTTGGCAAGGCTGGTCTTGAACACCTGACATTGTGATCCACCCGCCTCAGCCTCCCAGATTGCTGGGATTACAGGCATGAGCCATCGCGCCTGGCCCTTATCCTTTTACACTAACCCGTCAGATGTCCGAGTTTCCTGAGAAACCCCAGGAACTTCTACTTATTTTGTTAGCTATGCCTTCCCTCCACCTGGCTAACTTGCACTTGGGCACAGGCATGTGCTAAGGATGTTCATAATTTATCACTTGCAAAACCTGTGAGGTACCTGAAGCTTCTATGAGGAAAACAAAGTTACTGGGAGCAAAGCAGCATCCCTGACCGTGGCTGGGGAGTGAGTGACACGGCAAAGGAGACAGAAGGAAGAAGCTACACTGCGGCGCAGGCAGGCGACATGTAGGGTTCCTGGGGTGAGTGCTCCCAGGGCTCCCACGATGTGGTTACATCCGTGCCAGGAGAGGGTCGGGTGTGCATCCCCATGGCCCAGGACCTCCTCTCCTGGGGACACACTGGGGAAACATTCCATTCTCAGGGAGGAGTAACTTTTCTTTTTTCTAGACGGAGTTTCACTCTCGTTGCCCAGGCTGGAGTGCAATGGCGCGATCCTGGCTCACCACCACCTGCGCCTCCCGGGTTCAAGCGATTCTCCTGCCTCAGCCTCCCAAGTAGCTGGGATTACAGGCACGTGCCACCATGCCTGGCTAATTTTGTGTTTTTAGTAGAGACAGGGTTTCTCCATGTTGGTCAGGCTGGTCTCTAACTTCCAACCTCAGGTGATCCGCCCACCTCAGCCTCCCAAAGTGGAATAACTCTTCTAACAGTCAAGAACATGGTCCAATCTTCCAGCAGGTGCCTGAAAAGCAAGAGAACCTTGGCTCCCTGACGTAGTGCTGGTGCGAGGGTGAGTCCAGGAAGCTTCACCAGTCAAAGCTGACGTTTTGATCTGTCAGCTCCTCATAACCACCTGCTGCAACTGGAACAGAAGCATGGACGAGCAGGCTGTGCCATGTCCCATGCCCACGGCCGGAACAGAAGCGTGGACGAGCAGGCTGTGCCATGTCCCATGCCCACGGCCGGAACAGAAGCGTGGACGAGCAGGCTCTGCCGTGTCCCGAGCCCACAATCGGAGAAGCATGGACGAGCAGGCTCTGCCGTGTCCCGGGCCCATGCTCTCCATGCCGACTCAGACTCAGGCAGCAGAGGCTGGTGACGACCAGGGATCCTGGAGCCCGGCCACTCACCTTCAGTCCTACCTCCTCTACTCACTAGAGGCAGCTTCCCTCATCTGGCCTCAGTTTCCCCACCTGCAGAAAGGAGGATACTATTTCACACGTAGGTTGTCAGGGTAAGTCATTTAGTCCTTACACGTGTCAAAGAGGATGAGTGTGTGGCCACCGACTCTCACTGAATACAGTGACACAGTCCATTCAAGTCACCACAGAAGTCACAAAAATAAGCATGATTTCTTTTTTTAAAAAAAGGATTACACAGGGGCTTAAAATTCTGAGATCTTAAAAACTTTTCAATCCAAAGAATACGGCCCTTTGGAACTACAGGAAGACACTAGGAATATAAATTTGCACAATCATTATATCTTTTATTTACATATAGAAATTAGTAAAACTTAAAACAAAACCCAATGCGACTTGTACAGAAATCCTTTAATTTTCTTTATTTTCACACATTAAAAAATGAAACACACTATACAAATGGTTTTCATAGCAGGTTACATGTGGGTCCACTCAGACTTGCTCTCAAAGTGCTGCCAACGTGACAAGTGCTGCCAAGACGACAGCTGCGAATCGGGGAGCCCATGTATTGACTTAGTGCGGTAGCATGCAGCCCTCGGCACGGAGGGTCAGTCCCCGCTGTTCTTAAATTAGGGTAAATGGCGTTGGTGTCCGTATTTACAGACTTGAAATGTATCAATCCTGAGCAGTTCCGATGTAAATCCGAGACCAGCTGATGGGAGTCTTGGTCTCAGTTTTTAAAAGGGAGGTCCAATGGCGGCAGGCTGGCTGCTATGAACTTGAGTTGTTTTCATTCTTTCCAACATGAACTATTTGCTGCGGGTCACACAGTCAGACCCTTCCAGAAGGGTTAAGCCAAGTAACTGTAGGTGTCCTTTTCACCATCCACTCGCTCCAAATATTCTTTCTCAATTAGAATGTCAATGCATTTCTGGGTGTTATTTTTAAAAAGGAAGAGGTAGTGAAAGAGAAGAAAAACACAAATTATCATCAGAACAGAGAGAGGCTGCCCCCACCACAAATCTCCCCTGATTCGGAGCTCAGTGGGGAGCAGTGTCCCCGCCCCAGATCTGTTAGCATAGAGTTTTACTTCCTGGCAGCTAAGCCTTCATGCACGGAGCTCCCTGACACTTGCTGAGGGTGACTCCGAGTCCCTCCTGCACCCGCCCTAGGAACTGGAGTCAGGTGCTTCGGGAGCCCCGTGGGCCAGTCTCCCTTTCTACCACCAAAATCTGCCTGCCTCTGCGGCAGGACTCAGTCTCACAAGAAGAGGCCATGAACAGGGAACAGGGGACTGTGGGGAACTCCCTGAACAGCCATGAACGAACTGGCACCTGTGCCAAATGTAACCCAGGAGGGACACTGGGCCTCCTGCCTGTTGGGGAAGTCACCTGTCAATGCCACCCCTGAGTCTCTCCACTGGCTGTGACTTACCCAAGTGGTTTAGGAAAAGGAAAGTCCTGCTTAGTTACCATTTTAAACAAACCCAATCAGAAATAAGCAAAATGTCAATTATCAGTAGGCTACATAAAGGAAGGTGTGTTCCCATAACACAACACCCATAAAAGCAACAAAAACGACCCAGTGCTTCTCGATACCGCAATGCGACGAACCTCCCGAAGATACTGCTGAGGAAATTCTTACCAGGCACGGGAGTGTGTGCTCTAGAATCTGTTTATGTATCACGCAAAAGCAGGCAAAACTGTTTTATGGTGTCAGAAGACACGACAGTGATTTTCTATGGGACACAGGTGCTGGCTGGGGTGGGTGGGCTTCCGGGATGCCGGGCATGTTTCAATTCTTACCTGGGTGCTGATCACACAGTGTATTGACTGTGAAAGTCATCAAGCTGGCACTTCATCATCTGTGCACTTTGTATGTGTGTTTCAACAGTTAAACTGAAGCCGACTTTCTTTTATAGAAATCTACATACAAAGAAGCCAGCTCCCTCCTCCTTCATGCTACAGCAATCAATCCACTTTTTGCTACATCTTTTATCTTCTAAATTAAGAAAGGAATGTGACTGCTATGTAAAGTCCTGTACCTTGATCACAGGGACTCGAGGTTTGAACCTGGAGGACAGCTGAGTGAGGACCTCGCCAAGTAACTGCTGGTGTTTCAGAACCTTCCTCATCTTCATGATTCTCACGATGGCCGCCTATGCAACAAGATAAGGAAAAAGAAGTGCATTTAGAGCTGTAACAACGTTGTATTGATAGTTAAGGACAAGCTGCACAGAGGCTGCCGACGCCTATGCACAGGATCACAATTTCCTAACAGGCAACAAACATCCTGCAGGTGAGACGGGAGAGGGAACCAATTCTACCTGCCTATGTTTCAACTCTAACGTGGCAAACATTACAATGTTTGGGTCTTTTGAGCAATTTTACCTCAATAATTTAACTCAACCATAAAGCATTAAAAAAAAGGAGACAAAATTAAATCTTCAAGGCCACGGAAGCTGCCCATCCTCCCCACTGAAGAACTCTCCTTCCCCCTCATTTCAGCCAAACCTGCCACAATGTTTGCTTTCCAACATTTAGAGCAAGAGGACTGCCCTGTTTTGCCTGGTGACATAAAGGACTAATTCAGATAACAAGGCCCTGGCTCTCGGCCTTGCCACCTTCTGCCATCACAGACCCATTCATCTGGCAATCACTCCTTTGTCACCCCCGCCTACCCCCCACGGCCCGTCCTTGCGAGCCATCCCTGCGTGAGGGACAGCACACCTGGCACAGGCATACAGATAAGTCACCTGAATCAGTAGTTTGCGGTCTTCCTCGATGTTTTTGTGTGTGGTTTCTTGTTCCTGCTTCTGTTCGGTTTTCATTGGCACATTGATGTTAACCCTTAATTTCTTACTATCAAGAAAAATGAGGAAACCGATCACTATTATATTAAAAGGTAGGCAGTGAAGGCTGCTTTCTATTTTTCAACCTTTAAGAAGTGCCCTGCTTCCCTAGACAGAGGGGAGAATGTTGATTTCTGTGAGCTCTCCGTGAAAATGTCCTCTACCCAGCACTGGGTAGAGTCCGATCATGGCCTAGTTTCCTACTCGGCCATTAACAGGGACATCCACATTACAGAAAATCCAGGTCCCTAATCTGCTCTCCCAAATTTTGTCAAGTGAGATAAAATCAAGCCACTTGGACACAAAGGTCCAAACTTTCTTGGTGAGCCATTTAAGGAGACTTATTTGCCAAAATAATAAAAATCCCAGAAGCTCAGAATTGGAGAAACATCAGGCTCGCTGAATGGAATCAAAGGCCTACCTCACACTCCCAGCCTAGTGCCTGTCGCTTCACACTGAGTCCCCGGTCTCCCTTGGTTTGTAACAATACTGAGATCCGTGCTAGGGCTCCCGGGGGACGTGTCTATGGTCAAGGGCCATCTACTTATTAGATTTTTCTTACTTTTTATAACCAAGATATAATTTTATTAAGGTATCTGGCTTCAATTCCACCTCATCAACATTTGCATTTTCATCTTCCAAGACCTGTAAGAAAACAATTGTTACTCTACAATCTCAGGAAAAGGCTTCTTCTAGTGTAAGATAAAAGGGCGCAAACCTACCAATAGCTTCGACTTTAATAAAATCTGTAAAACTTGCGCCAAAATGTCCTGCAATTAAAGAGAAAAAGAGGAAGTTAAAGGGAAAATGCATTTTTCTTTGCAATAACCACCACAGGCAACCTCACAGTCCATTTTCCATTAAAAAAAAAAAAAAAAATCACCCAAAAGAAGAGTATGCTGGAAGGAAAAAAAAGTTGGTACTTCTTAGAAGTTCACTAAATTTACTGCTTCCTTCCACCCTGACTTCTAGAAGTGAAATCAACCCCTTTCTGGCCTTGATCACACAATAATAGAAATGAACAATTCTGTTATACTTAAATCAGGTTGAGTAACCCTTATCTGAAATGCCTGGGACTAGAAGTGTTTGGATTTCGGAATACTGCACTGGATTTACAGATTCAGCAGCCCTGATTGGAAAATCCGAAATTTCAACTGCGCCATGAGCATTTTTTTTTTTTTTTTTTGAGCATCATGTTGGTGCTCAAAAATGTTTGGATTGTGGAGCATTCTGGAATCTGGATTTTTGGATTAGGGATGTTGAACCTGTATTGGAAACCATGCACAATGAAATCTTCAGGAACTCTTCACTTCTTAAGTGCCTGACAGCTCATCTTGGACACTGATCATCACAAAAGAAATATTAAAGAGCTGCCCAGCAAGACTGAAAATAATGTCCTGCTCATGAGAACAGTGGGGCTCAGCGGCAGGCGACCTTGTCAACTTGCCTTTGATGCACTCAAGCACGTTGTGTGGCCTCTCATCTGTGAATGGTGGGTGTGGTAAACGCTTCCCAGCCCTCCTTCAGCCTCACAGCTTTATGATCCCATGAAATCCAAGGGACCAGCCTGAGGGCACTCACAGAGTCACACGGACTCTTACAACCCACGGGCAGTGGAGTCCTGTCGTCATAATGGGTACCCATTCTGGTCTGAGGATACGTGGTGAAAGCTGTCAAAGCGAGAGGCCTCTCTCTAGTCTAGTAACTGACCCAGAACTGCCAGCAGCCATTCGAATACTGCCCACTGCATCTAGAGCAGGGTGCGGGGGTGCCCACTTCCTGAGCCAGGTCTGATTGGACAGCATCTACTGTGGGCAGAAAGGAGAGAGCAGCGGCAGCCTCCTGAGGGAGTTCTAACACTGAGAACCACTCAGGAGACTGGCCTAAAATCCTGATCAGAAGCAGCCAAGCAAAGACCTGACAGTCCACACCTGTCAGCCCTGTCCTCAGGACCCGTCTGCACAGCCCTCCCCACAGTCTAGGGGGCAACCAGGCCTCCAACCTACAAAGGCACAAACTCATTTTGTTATTAGAATCTGAAGATATATTTAGGAGTAATTCGAAGAATGATTACAAAATAGTCATTCAAAATGACTTTCCTAACTCAGTCCATAAGGCCAGGATTAGCCAGACACGAAAACCAAACGAACATCTTGAGAAAACAATGGAGCAATATCCCTTATGAATATAAATGCAAAACTCGAGAAAATACCGGCAAGCTAAACCCAACAACATAGAAAAAGGATTATATACCATGACCAAGTGGGACTCACCCTAAGAACACCAGGGTGGTTCAACATCAGTGCAATACACCATATTAACAGACAAAAAAGCAGTTATTTTGACAGAGTAGAAAAAGCATTTTGACAAAATACAACACTCTTGCATGATACAAAATTCAATAAACTAAGAATAAAAGGGAACCTCTTTAGTCTGATAAAGGACATCTAGTAAAAGCTCACAGCTAACACCATCACTCTTTAACATCACAGTTAAACAGTAAAAGACTGGAAGCTTTCCCAATAAGGGCAGTAACAAGACAAGGATGCTTGTTCTTGCCACAAATTCTAGCCAGAAGAATCAGGCAAAAACAAAGACAAACAAAAAAGAAATAAAAGGCAGCCAAATAAGAAAAGGAAGAAGCAAAACTGCCTGTATTTATAGATGATATGACAGTATATCAAAAAACTCTAAGGAATCCCCCCAAAAACTATTTGAGCTAATAAATTAGAGCTAATAAACATTTAGCAATGTTATAGGAAACAGAATCAAAATACAATAATTAGTTGTACCTTTTTTTTTTTTTTTTTTTGAGACAGAGTCTTGCTCTGTCGCCCAGGCTGGAGTGCAGTGGCGCAATCAGGGCTCACTGCAAGCTGCGCCTCCTGGGTTCACACCATTCTCTCGCCTCAGCCTCCCGAGTAGCTGGGACTACAGGCACCTGCCACCACGCCCGGCTAATTTTGTTTTTGTATTTTTAGTAGAGACTGGGTTTCACCATGTTAGCCAGGATGGTCTCGATCTCCTGACCTCGTGATCCGCCCGCCTCGGGCTCCCAAAGTGCTGGGATTACAGGCGTGAGCCACCACACCCTGCGGTACTTAGTTGTACTTCTATACATTAGCAACGAGCAATCAGAAAGTGGAACAGGCTGGCATGGTGGCTCATGCCTGTGTAATCCCAGCACTTTGGGAGGCCAAGGTGAAAGTGTCACTTGAGCCCAGGAGTTCAAGACCAATCTGGGCAACACAGTGAAACACCATCTCTACAAAAAATACAAAAATTAGCTGAGCATGGTGGCAAGCGCCTGTAGTGCCAGCTACTCAGGAGGCTGAGGAGAGAGGATCATTTGATACCGCAGTGAGCTATGACTGCACCATTGCACTCCAGCCTGAGCAAGAGACCCTGTCTCAAAAAAACAGAAAAAAGTGAAATTAAGAAAACAACTCTGCCAGGCACGGTGGCTCACGCCTATAATCCCAGCACTTTGGGAGGCCGAGGCAGGCAGATCACTTGAGGTCAGGAGTTCAAGACCAGCCTGGTCAACATGGTGAAACCCTGTCTGTACTAAAAATACAAAAAATTAGCCAGGCATGGTGGCGCACGCCTGTAATCCCAGCTACTTGGGAGGCTGAGGTGGGAGAATTGCTGGAACCCAGGAGGCGGAGGTTGCAGTGAGCCAAGATTGCACCACTGCACTCCAGCCTAGGAGACAGAGCAAGACTCCGTCTCAATTAAAAAACTAAAAACCAATTCCATTTATAATAGCATCAAAAAGAATAAACTAGGAATAAATTGAAAGTAGTAGAAGATGCATACACTGAAAACCATGAGACACAGTTGAAAGAAAAGACAACCTAAATAGATGAAAAGACATCCCATGTTCATGGAGTGGGAGACTTAAAATACTGCTGAGATGGCAATACTCCCCAAAGCAATCTATAGATTCAGTGCAATCCTTATCAAAATCTCAACTGCACTTTTTGTAGAAATGGACAAGCTGATCTTGAAATTCATAAGGTAACATAAGGGATCCAGAATAGCCAATATAATCTTGGGGGAAAATAAAACGAAGTTAGGGGTCTCGATTTCAAGATTTACTGCAAAACAACAGTAATCCAGACAGTGTGATACTGGCATAGTAAAGATATACAGATCACTGGAAAATAATTGAGAATCCAGAAATAAACCCATATATACCTATGGCCAACTGACTTTTGACAAGTTTGCCAGCACCAAACAATAGGGAGAGAATAGTCCTTGGCCTCAGACTAGGCAATGATTCCTTAAAAATGACACCAAAACCACAAACAATATAAAGAAAAAATAGATAAAATAGGCTTCATCAAAATTAAAAATGTGTGTATATAAGAAAGTAAGAAGACAACCCACAGAATGGGAAAAAACATTTGTAAATTACATATTTGATAAGGATCTAGTATACAGAATATTAAAAGAATTCTTACGACTCAACAACAAAAAGACAAATAACCCAACTGAAAAATGGGCAAAGAATTTGATCAAACATTTCTCCAAAGAAGATATACAAATGGCAATAAACACAAAAAAGATTCTACACATCATTAGTTGTTAGAGAAATGCAAGTCAAAAACTGCAAGATACTACTTCACATCCACTGGGATGGCTATAATTTTTTTTAAAAATGAAAATAACAAATGTTGGTGAGGATATGGAGAAACTGAAAGTTTCATACACTGTTGGTGAGAATATGAAATGGCACAGCCACTATGGAACAGTCTGGCAGTGCCTCAAAAAATTCAGCTATTACATGACTCAGCAATTCTATACCTAGGTATATACCCAGGAAAATTGAAAACATGTATTCACAGCAGCATTGTTCATAATTGGAAACAACTTAAATGTACATCAACTGATGAACAAATAAAATGTGGTCCATCTATACATTGGATTATTCGACCACAAAAAGAAATGAAGTACCAACACATGCTAGAACATGGGCAAACCTTGCAAACAGTATACACTGAGGGAAAGAAGGCAGGCACAGAAAGTCATGTGTTATATGATTCCATTTATATGAAATGTCTGGAGTAGGCAAATTGATAGCAAATTAATGGTTGTCAGGGGCTGGGAGCTAGCGGGCAGTTACTGCTAATGGGTGCAGGTTTCTTTTTGGGGTGATAAAACACTCTGGAATTGGATAATGGTGGTAGTTCTATAAGCTTGTGAATATACTAAAAACCACTTTGTACACTTTAAAATGACTTTTATGTTATGTCAAATTTTATTATCTAAAATATATCTCAATAAAAAATATGGCTAGCAGGAAAAATAATACTAAAGTGGAAATTTAAGCTTAGTAAGAAAAGCCTAACTGGTTAAATGAATGAGAGAAAAGCATGGATGAGGAGTATGTGTGTGTGTGTTACACGTAGTTTTATTTTTAAGAGACAGGGTCTCTGTCACCCACGCTGGAGTACAGTGGCACGATCATAGCTCACTGCAGCCTCGACCTCCCAGGCTCAAGTGATCCTCCCGCCCCAGCCTCCCAAGAAGCTGGGACTACAGGCATGTGCCACCATGCCTGGCTCAACAATGAGTTTTAACATGAAGCTTTTTGTAGTGCGTATTAAAATCCTGGAATAAGGCCATATTCATATTCATGAGGCAAACATCTATTTCAAATTAAAGATGCCCATATCCTCTTCCTTATCTTTCCTAACAATATCCACGAGAACAAGGAAACGGCAAGCTGATAGAACAACGAGCCTGAGATGAGAATACCATTTTAATTTGAGTGCTGTCGGTCAGCTGCTGCACAGTGTAGGCATCTTCCGTGTTGTACTGAAGCAGGATAGCCATCTGGAATGTCGACGCCTTTGCGGCCCCCCATATAAAAGAAAAAGAAGGAAAATTTACATGCATGGAAACACCTCCCAAAATATACAGCCCAAGTTTGAAGAACTTATTTATGAAACAAATTCTTTAAACAAGTACAAAAAAAGCACAGATCTATTTAAAAGGGAATATAAAACGTGGCAATGCCACTACAATGCAACATTTTCCCAAAGTCATTCATTTTCCATGTTTACAAACATTAAAATAATTTGAGGGTTTTTTTTAAAAAACGTATTGTCTATGTGGATACATACTATAGATACGTCCCCACGCATTTATAGAGACAATCACATATACACACACCTGGTATATATGGACATGTTAAGCATCAATCTCCAAATCTGTTTTTGGCACATGAGCTAAGGAATATTATCTTTTGGCACATTATTGATGTAAAACAACACAAATATCAAATTATATTTGGTTTTCTAATCCTAAGTACTTTACTATGAAAGTATGAAAAAAGTAAGTAAAGTATGAAATGGCAAGTGTACTAAATTTCTATTTTTTTTTTTTTTTGAGACAAAGTCTTGCTCTGTCACCCAGGCTGGAGTGCAGTGGCACAATCTCGACTCACTGCAACCTCCGCCTCCCAGGTTCAAGGGATTCTCCTGCCTTGGCCTCCAGAGTAGCTGGGGCTATAGGCGTGCACCACCACACCCAGCTAATTTTTGTATTTTAGTAGAGATGGGGTTTCGCCATGCTGGCCAGGCTGGTCTCGAACTCCTGACCTTGTGATCTGCCTGCCTTGGCCTCCCAAAGTGCTAGGATTACAGGCTGAGCCACTGCACCCGGCCCTAAAGTATCTTCTAAAAGACAGGTAGCACGTGTTGGTTCCTGATTGCTGAGTGTGTGCAAGCGAATGAACACCCCGAGGACGCCTTCCTTCTCTTCTCCCTGTTTTCTTGCATAATCGACAGCAACAAGTAATGACCCATGACTGTCAGTCACTGCTTGCCTCTCGGCAAGACCTTGGTCAATGGAAAGAGAAACAAAAAACGCCACATGCCTGTTTCAGGGCGGCCCACAGACAACACTGCTTCCAGGGCCTTGAACAGAGATACAAGGGAACGAGCGTGTTGCTAATGTTTTCTATTGGGCCCGCTCCGGGCTGCCTTAACACGGCAGACACACCCTAGGCAAAGCCTCCACCGTCAAAAACTGGACACTGAAATTCCAGGTACTGTAGTGGAACACATGGATTCTTCTATGTATATTTGGGGATAAATGAAACAAAATTTCAATTGTATAGTAAGAAACATTCAAGTTGATAAAGACCTCTGGAGCCAGCATAATACTATGCATTTTAACAATTTTAAGTCACAGTAGATTTACGAAAAGTTTAAATTAATGAGCAGCTTGAGTCTGCAGAACAACCCATTCTGGAGTTTCTTAATACTTAAACACAGATTTGCAATTCTTCTTAGAAACTCACTGGTGAAAACTTCTCAGAGACTAAAATATGCCATTACTTGTGAAGACCACTCAGTACAAAAGTGGAAGTAGAAAGAGCTTGGACTTTTTTTTCTTTTTACTTTAAAAAATATCTAGAGATGGGGTCTTGCTATGTTGTCCAGGCTTGTCTCAAACTCCTAGCCTCAAGTGATTCTCTGGTCTCAGCCTCCCAAAGCGTGAGGATTACAAGCGTGAGCCACCACACCAGCCCAAGCCTAGACTTTAAGAGAAAAGACTTTAACTGAAATTTTGGCTCAGCTACATATAAGCTAGGATTCAGAGAAATTCACTTAAATTAACCCAAGCCTCAGTTTTCTCCTCTAAGAAATGGAAATATTCTTAGTTACATAGGTATAAATTAGGTTGTACTCAATATTGTTGTCAGCACTGAGTGTTATTAATGTGAAAGTGCTCTGTGTAAGGTGGAGAGCTGATATAATGAAATGCATGCAACTCCAGCTTTTGAAGTCACTACCTGAACAGCTGATGTGTGTCAGGCAGGAGCGGTGCCAAACACTTACTAAATACATTATTTAATTTTCACATCAATTCCCAACTATAAAGTACTAACACTCCCATTAATGGAGGAGAAAACTGAGGCTCACAATCATTAAATAACTTGCTCCCCAGCCAGAAAGAATTGGAATTTGGTTCATCTGATTCTTACAACTCCATGCTTTAAACCTGCCACTATTTCACCAGAAGCTGAATTCTAGATTCTGCTGCTGAGTCAGCTGATAATGATTTCCATAATTTGCCTTATGTTCATTTAGAATAGAAAAATTTTAAGATAAAAATGTGATCTTACCTGCAAAGTATATCTGTTTTTGAAGCAGTTAGTTACCAATTCTCCTTTAGACAACTGATATAACCACGTCAATTTTCGGCCACTGTGGCGGCTGGCGTAGAAAGCTGTGAATCGCTGATAACTACGTTCCAACTAGATAAAAGGACAGCATTATATGGAATACAGATCTCACCACATCCTACAGGCAGCGTTTCTAAGTAAAGCCCACTGTTCCAAGCTTACAGTACAAAGTCAGTGCTTACATAAAAGTAAAATACAAACGCCAGGTGTCTGCCTCTCTTGTAAAGCACTTTAAGCACTGGAAGGTACAATCTTAAAAAAGGTTTGTACTTCAAGACCAGCAGGTCCATCGAGGTGTTCATTACACAACTAATTAGGTTCTGCTTTACAAGATAAGGAAACATGTCTGTAGAGCTGGGACAGACAGCCCACCTTTAGACATCCAGACCTGCCCCACTGCACAGGGCTCTTCCCTGAGTGTTGCCCCCATGGTTCACCGTGATGCAGCCAGCCAGCAGGAAGGCCATCTGCAGGCCTGTCCCCTTCCACAGTGAAGGCTGCCCTGCCCCACCCTCCACTTAGCACTAATGGGATGGCAGACAAACCCATCCTTACCTCTGACGGCAAGGCAAATGTACAAGACTGCTGGAAGGGCCAGGACCCGGAGCTCAGCACTTGAATGCTGAAATCCACTGTGGGACGGAAGAGAGGGGAGAGTGAACATTCTGGAATACATTAATTAGTTTATAAACTGAAAAATTCAATCATTTCAGATGAATGTGGATTGCTCTTTATTAAAAAGCACATTAAATAAAAATCCTGCTTGAATATAAAATTAAGAATTGAACATTTTATTCAATTAAAATTAGCAAAAAGTGCAAGAGCCAGATACTCTTTTCTTCCAAAGAGTGAGAGTCTTCATTTTGCTTCCACCTCGGAATTCTGCTGTCACACGCCTGCCCTGCTTCCCTTGCTTTCCTTTTCTGTCCTGAATCACTCAGTCCACTCAAGCCACGCCTGTGCTTGCCAGGCCCGGCATCATCACAGCCCCAGACTCATGCAAACTCACAAGCAGGAGAAAACCGCTAACTTCATTATAGTGTATGTTTCACTTATTACTGGGAAACGCCACACATGGTCTATAAATTATAACAGTAATTTCATCTTCGCAGATAGTTAAAAAGCCCACTGGCAAAACTGTCCAGTTTTACAATAGAATTGTCATTCTGATTTGGGAAAAATAAAATTCTCCATTTTTCATTTAAAAAGACAAAGATGATCAAAAGATGATGTAAGCATAAATCCGCCATCCTACTACTATGCAAGGCCCTAAAATACCAGCCCAGCTGCCTCTCCTGGAGAACTGAATCACCTGCACCTGCCTGTACTGATCCCTAATCCCAGTCTGAAGCCACAGGTCTTTAGCTTGACTGTTACCTATGCAGGCCAAGTGAACATTAAAATAAATGCTAGAATGGATCCAAGCTAAGGTTTACAAGACAAAACCACGCCTGTGAGTCCCTCCCCAGATCCCAACAGGTGGTGACCTTGCCCCAGTAGAGCTGACACCACTTCAAGGGTTGTCATCTCCTAATGTCACACGGGAGTCGGGGGAGGAGGGCTGGGCATTTGGGAGGAATCTCCCGCTTCTTAGTTCTTGAATTTCTGACAAAGCCCCTCCCATCTTCACCTAATATTTTGTCATTTCTTCATTTGCTACAGAGAACTCTGCCTGTAAACACAACATAGAGACACACGGATACTCACAGTCTAGGGGTTCTGAGTTTGTCAAGTGCTTTTTGAATTGCTCGTTCAGATCTTTGCTCACGCCAATGTCTTGAAACATGCGCTGAAGTTTAGAGGTGTACTCGAACCCGCAAGCTTGCTGAGAAGAACCCAGATGACTGTCTTATTAATTTGTACAAAAATACAAATGTATACAAGGGAATCTTAGAGAAATCAGAGTATACAATATATACTTAATTATATGGAACTACTAGCAAAGCTAGTAACATTTTGCTATATTTTACAGTACAAATATGCATGGATTAATATTAATACACTGTCAAAAAACCCCACAACTCTATGTTGCACAGTGAAGTGTTCACACACACAATTCATACACAATTTGTGAGCATTTAAGAGCAAGGTGTCCTGACACTGGTAGAATACAATGATGAAATAATCTGTCTCTATCTCTTACCAGAAGCTGAACTGTGTGCCCCCAAAATCCCTATGTTGAAGCCCAAACCTCCAACGTGATGCTGTGTGGAGGTATGCGGTCTTGAGCATGGGGCCTCACAATGGGATTGGTGTGCTTGTAAGAGATGTGCAAGAGCTCTGCACTCTCTCTCTGACACGTGAGGCACTGCAAGAAGGTGGCTGCCTACAAAGCAGGAAGAGGGCCTGCACCAGGAACCGAATCAGCTGGCACCCTGATCTCGGACTTGTGGCCCCCAGAATTGTGAGAAACTATTTCTGTTGTTTAAGCTACCTGGTCTATGGTATTCCGTCATGGCAGCCCACGCTGACAAAGATACCTACATAATTTGGGGCCAAAGTAAAGTATGTCCCAAGTCAGATAAGAGCACTCGACAGCGCCGACACACAGGCACGCAAAGGAGGTGGCAGAGGAAGGGCTGCGTGACAGCAAAGTAACCAAGCCCAGAGCAAACAAAACCTCCACTCAGCTCCAGGCCAGCACAGTGTGGAAGTGTGAATGTGCTGCAAGGCTAAAGGTGTGGGAGGCAGGAGAGGCCCCACAGATGGTGAGCTGAGCCCAGCCAGGCCTGGGTAGGATGGAAGCCCCACAGTGGGGTGGGGAAGGGGTTGGGAAGGCACCGGGGCCCAACGAGAGTAGAGTGATAGTTGTGGGAGGCTTTCAGAAGAGCAGTGGCAGAGCTTCTTGTACAAACCACTGCACAAACTCCTCTGCCTGCCTCATAACCTGGAGAGACTAAGAGCTTTTTTATTTTTTTCTGAGACAGAGTCTCACTCTGTTGCCCAGGCTGGAGTGTAGTGGTGTGATCTCGGCTCACCGCAACCTCTGCCTCCCGGGTTCATGCCATTCTCCTGCCTCAGCCTCCCAAGTAGCTGGGACTACAGGCGCCCACCACCATGCCCGGCTAATGTTTTGTATTTTTAGCAGAGATGGGGTTTCTCCATATTAGCCAGGATGGTCTCGATCTCCTGACCTCGTGATCTGCCCGCCTCGGCCTCCCAAAGTGCTGGGATTACAGGCATGAGCCACCGCGCTCGGCCATAGAGCTGTTTTAATAATGACTCAGAAGCTGGGATTTTTCAGGAAAAGATGAAACTCACCTTTAACTTGGAGATCATGCTGGCTTCGGCATCGTCACTTGCACTGTTCTGGTGGACGAGCCTCTTGGCGAGCATCTTCGCATAGAACTTCTGAAATACGTCTTTGTCTTCTATGTACTTGAAGACAACCATCTGGCAAAGCCACCGAGACAACACACTTAACCAGCACACACACAAGCCAACAGTGCAGAGCTGACTGTCACCGGCCACAAGCCAGGAGCCAAGATGTGCCTTTGGCTTTGGGCAGGTCTGTACGCCAACGTTTATGATGGCAAAATCTCCACTCCAGAGTCTTGAAAGTTTTGTGAGTCCCTTAATTCAGTGAGTTGGACTGACTGAGTATTAATGAGAAAAGTATGAATGCTAAAAGTAGTAACTCAATTTAGGAAGTAAAACCAGAGATTCAAAATAAAATCAATGATTATTACTTTTCACATTTCAGAGGCCATCTACAAATAACATTACAAACAGCTTGTGAAATACACAGCTACTGGAAATGGGTATGCTCATGAAGCACTTACCACTTGATTGAGTGTGTCTTCTAGTTCTGCCTCCTCTGGGTTCTTGGAACTGAAAATTTTAAAAAGATACCATGTTTTAAAACATCAGTACGTTTAAACAAGCACCACTTAGCCAGAATGCAGCTTCAAGCATTCAAAAGATCAGTTCTCATCAGATTAGTGCAGAGGAAGAGGGAAGGTTGACTTTCCTTACCTACAGCAAACTGGCAATCTCATACTGTAACCTCAACACTGAAGAACAGATTATGAAGTAGTCATTTAGAATATCCAAGGTGAAAACCAACAGGAGATATTTATAAAACATTTCCAAAAACATTCTGAAGAAGTTTGCCTTTAAGATAATCCACTTAAACTTCAGTAAAGGAAATTCACTTTACCAATTGCTTTCTAGTCTGCTGTAATTTAACTTTGGAGAAATAAAAAGGCACATAGATTCCCTTTCATGGCCCAGTCATTAAAGATGATGAAGGGGTTTAAATTCCTACTAAACTGCTGCCCTCTGTAGTTGTATATACAAGAGATGATTGTCCTTTAACAACTGATTCATTCTATGAACAAATAATAATTCAAAGGTGAATTAAAGGTAGATGAATTTTTGTACAGGTCTTTTCTACAAGACTGCTTTATAAACAAGACCCCCTAATTCATATAAAACGAATCAGCCACCACAGAAACTCTGAAGAGGTGTCTCCAACTTTAGAAAAGTTGGTTCAGAAAACCCAACCCTATTCTTGGCACTCTTGGGTCAGGGGTGTTCCTCTTCCCTTGGAGCAGTTTAACTTAGTGCCTCCCTGACTCCACTCACCCAACACACGCTCATTAAAGAGGTGCTGTGGAAATGTCTCTGCCATTCTGTCTGCATCAGTGGCCTTAACTAGTATCAGTAGACTTGACGAGGGACATTTATGAAAAGACAAAGGATAAAAAGGACACTAAGGCCAGGTGTGGTGGCTCACACCTGTAATCCCAGCACTTTGGGAGGCTGAGGCGGGTGGATCACTTGAGGTCAGGAGTTCGAGACGAGCCTGGCCAACATGGTGAAACCCTGTCTCTACTAAAAAAAAAAAAAAAAAAAATTAGCCGGGTGTGGTGGCACGCCTGTAGTCCCAGCTGCTCAGGAGGCTAAGGCATGAGAATCACTTAAACTCAGGAGGCAGAGGTTGCAGTGAGCCGAGATTGTGCCACTGCACTCCAGCATGGGCGACAGAGTAAGACTAAGTCTCAAAAAAAAAAGGACACTAAGTGTTCTGTCAAACAAACTGAATGAAGACCCAGTGGAGTATCTCCATAGTCATAACATGCAGCCCCCTAAAATGAAACCAAGTCATCAGAGGCCTTCCAATTTAAAGTCCCCTCTCATTTCTGGAGAGGATCTGATCGCAATTGTTAAATTACACATTAAACCAGGAATAAATACTCCTGTTTATTGCAATAAACAGGAAAAAAAAATCAAACACTCAGAGTTTCTCACTGGCCTTGGGTAAACTGCGTTAAGAGAAAGCTATTGACCTTCATCAAATGTTTTCCCATCATTTACCAAAAAGGTCACATAGTTGGTACATGGTTCTCTGTTAATGTAGTAAATTACATCAGACTTGGTACTGCTGGGTTATCCTTATGTTCCTAGAAAGCTATACTATGTTTTGAAGAATTATTATTTAGTTCACTGGGAAATCTGGCTTGTTAATATTTTACTTAAGATTTCTACAACTCTATTCTCAAGTGACACTTGTTTGTAGTCTTTTCATTCTGGTATGTGGGTATTTCTCGGTCTTTTTTGTATCGGGGTTATGCTAGCCTTCAAGAGCTGTTTAAAATATAATTTATTAATATCAAAACCAATATAATTTTGGCGTGTGGAAAACTATTGCAACAGAAAGCCAGAAGGAGATTAGCTTCCTTCATTAAAATCTTTAAAACTTATTGTTGTGATATCTGAAATAGAGCATTTCTAAACTGAAGGAAACTTAAAGTGAAAGAGAAGCTGAGAAAAACCAGAACACACAAACAAAAAACTCAATGAGAACTTCAAAAAACACACGCAGAGGAGAAAGCTATATATTATATTGCTTCCAGATCTTAATACACATAAATTGATTAGAAAACATCAATTGAGAAATAAGATTCAAAAGTAAAGAATATGAAACAGCAACAAAAACTCATCTAACAAAAATAAATTTAAAACTACACAGAATAACAAAGGCAATCTACGGCCATACCACTCTGAACTGAACGTGCCCGATCTTGTCTGATCTCAGAAGCGAACAGGGTGGGGCCTGGTTAGTGCTTGGATGGAGAATAACCAAAGTCCCACAATACATTGAGACATTTCTGTTTGAAAAACAGCCAGTGGGAGGGAATGCAGATTTTCAACGGCAAGGACGATTATGTTTAAGCATTTTTCTCATAAGGTACAAAAATTCCAATTTAATGTATGTAAAATGTAATGTAGGTTTTAATTCCTCATATAAAAGCTGAGATTTTAAACAGGCATACTAAGAAAACATAGGGTCATTTAATACCTTTTCTTCAACAAGGAGTCACAGTATCGAGCCAGCAACTCAGGGGATTTACTGGATGATTGGGCCATCTTGGTAACCGCGTTGTTGTTTATGAAGCGACCACAAGCCTGCGTTACACGGAATATAGTTAGAGACAAACGCCCCATCCATACATACTACAGGCAAGTCACAACCCTCACGCACCTACCTTATCAAGAGCAGCCACAAAGCCAGCGTCATTGTTGAATGCAGACATTACCAGGGCATTGTATTTTTTATGAACATCAAGCACTGTCTGTACATACATTTTGGGGTCCTTAAATGGGGGCAGAAATAGAAACAAAAGTTGGTTATTGGGGATTAAATTGTGTATTAAGGTATACAATGCATGTACTAGCATACAAAATATTCTAAAAGCTATAGATACCTTTTCAAAGTTAAGAGATAAGAGCAAGAAATACTTTTGGTACCATCGTTGAAACACATAGGACATTTTGTTTATATATATAAAAGAAAAAACAATCTATTCTCCACACTCAAAACTAAATATTGATTCCGAGCTTGCATTAAAAACAGTGAAAACTCAAAGAGATCATGAAAACAGCATTTTCCAAGTGACAGTTCTGCTTTGCCAATTCCTCCTTGTTAAACAGTGGAACTCTGGACTCTGTTTCAGCTGGAGAAGGCGTTTAGCCGCCGAGGTCGGTCATCAGCCCGGCTGGGCAGGCAACGCGAGGGAAAGCGGGGCTCAGGGCGGGAGTCTGACTGCGGCCCCCACCCACTGCAAACCAGAGGCGCGGATCCGCGTGGCGATGCCGGGGGCCAGGGCCTCATCGCAGGACGGGAAGAGGGGCGGAGCGCGGCGCAGGGCAGCAAAGGGGCCTCCCCGGAACAAGGAACAACATGGAAATGCAACGGGAAGGCTGGCCGCAGAGGCTCCTGTGGCCAAAGGAAGGCGGCGACAATGGAAGGCAAAGGAGACGGAGCTAAGTGCTAATGAGAAAAACAGCGCTGCTGCTAGGCATGCAGCGCACGCCGCCACCACCCTTCATGAGACCGCGAAAGCCCACACTGGGCAGCAGGTGCTGTTTTCATCCCCATTCTACAGACGTAGAAACTGTCACAGCTAAGCACACTGCCAGGAAATGGTGGCAGGCACAGGCTTGGCTCCGGGCTGCGAGGGAGCCCGGCTGGGAAGGTTGGTGGGAGGGAGCTCCGGGTCACCCCCAGCCAAGCACAGATCCAGGCGCCGCGGCACGCCCATGTTTCCACATCACGATACATTAATCTGCAGGGCTCAGGTGCCAGAAATCAGCATTCCCAATTCTACCTATTCTGCATTTTTTATAACATTTGATTTACTTGTTTTTAAATAACAATGAGTATCAGTAAGGATGAATGATTTTTCTGCAACAGGGTTACACTTAAGAGTGTCAGAAGTTTCCTGTTAAAAAAAGCTCTATATAATAAATGCAAGGTTTATTATGAATATATTGTGCTAAGTTCAATAAGATATAAATATGGTCTCCACCTGACATAAACATTTGATAAGAGAAAACATTAAAAGGGAACTTAATGCAAAATAATTGCCAAATAAAAATCACTTAATATTGAAAGGCAGTATTGCAGATATTTAATATTTTAAAATTACCATCTTAAAAATGTTAAAACACACAGAGCGTGAACTGCACTACCAGATAGCCTTGCTCTTTGTTTCATGGCTATCCCAGACGTAGGGAAACTTCTTCCACTTTGCCTGGATGGTCTTAATCTTCAGAGTGAACCAAAAGCACCTCCAAGTTGGGCCATATCTTACTTCATATAAGCTTGCTTCTTTTAAACAATGAAAATATTTTCTGCTTGACCTAATTGTGGTTTTGTCACTGAAATAGATATTGCTTCTGCCAATTCAGATTTTAGATCACTTTCAGATTTCATGTCAAATTATTCCAGAACATTCACATATTCTTCTCTCTGCCTTCCTTCTGTTACAGTATTTACAAAGTGCTCCAGCCTACAGCGAGGATTCAAACACTGGAAAATGCTAGAAACGCTATTGGGTAGTTTTCGAATACGGTAACATGCAGGATCCTTAACAAGTTAACGGCCCTACAAAGAACTGCGTGTCACAACTGCCAATTGAAGGACTCAATTTGCTTCCAAAACTTGCTATTTTTTTGGAAGACCCCTCACAGGGTTTATATATAGCATGTTATGTATATAAATATTAATACTTATTTTATTTGCAAGAATGACTTCACCCTTAGCAGCAGAGGGGCTACAGATCCACACTTAGAAGGCCTTGCCCACCTGGCAGCCTGACCACTCGGCCTGCACGGCTTCCCTGCCACACGCCTTCACCCTCATTCCCGAAAACGCCAGCCTCAACTTACTCACGCTCTTGCTTGCGACTTGTCATTGGTGGACTCCTCTGAACCAGTGATGTCTCTATGTTGACTATAACGTTTCCAAATTATAATACTTTTCTGTATTTTCTCAAAATGTTTTGGCCATTTTTCCTCAGATTTGTAATTTGGAAAAATACCAATTTCCCAAGGAATGCCAGGAACAACTTCTCACATGGAAAGCCAAATCTCCAGGAGTAAAGAAGTCTTCAGACTCCAATTCCAAAATTCTTTCAACTACAGCAGTCTGGCTGGTGAGATGGGAGGACTTGCATGGAACCTACTAAAGGAAAAGTGTCAAAACACTGGCCTTGGCCGGGCGCGGTGGCTCATGCCTGTAATCCCAGAACTTTGGGAGGCGTAGGCGGGCAGATCATGACGTCAGGAGTTCTAGACCAGCCTGGCCAACATGGTGAAACCCCATCTCTACTAAAAATACAAAAAAATCAGCTGAGGGTGGTGGCAGGCGCCTATAATCCCAGCTACTCGGGAGGCTGAGGCAGGAGAATCGCTTGAACCGGGAGATGGAGGATGCAGTGAGCCGAGATCGCGCCACTGCATTCCAGCCCAGGTGACGGTGCGAGACTCTGTCAAAAAAAAAAAAAAAAAAAAAATCTGGCCTTGAAAATGTGAATTTAGCATTTGAGGTTCAGAGAAAAGCCATTTAGGAACTGGTCAAGAAGCAGACAACACACTAGAATAATATACGGGAGAGAATTTTAAGGAACTAGTCAGCAAATAGAGAAAAGATGTTCAAAAGGGGAGTAGATTTAGCATTCAGGAGGTAAACAACGAAGACAGGTTATAAAACAGAGAGGAGAGAGATCAGCTGGATCAAATGGATGTTTTTTCAAGAAAGCAAAGAACAAAGGTTTGAGGTTTAAAAAAATAAAGTAGTAATGGGTTTGATTCAGGACCCTCTGTGTATTCACGAGAGCTTTTCACATGTAAGAAACAGGACATCTCCCAGGGCTTGTCCCTAAGGGCTCATTCAACTCCTATATGATTTCAGTTGTTGTTATACCTAGGACGGACACATTCACATCCACACCAAACTTCCCCCAGGTGAGCCCGTGTGGCCTGCCCTGGGCTATCATGGGATTTCCAAAGCCTATGTCACGAATGGCCTGATCTGCTCCCCAGTCCTGTGTTCTCTGGAGCTCTTCTCGGCAAGTGCCACCACTCACCCAGCGGCTCGAGCCAGGCACCCAGGACTCAGTTCCTGCTTTCCGACTCATGAATCCTGTGAATCCACTCAATCCATACAACCCGTCCATTTCTTTTCAACGTTTTATTGTGGAAAAAATTCAAATATATTCACAATTAGAAAGAGTAGTAAAACTTACCCCATGTACTCATCATTCAGTTTTAACAAATATCGAAACACAAAACCTGTCCATTACAAAGCCAGTGTCTCTGCATCATTCTTCTCTCCATTCCCCGCACGACCAGCCCAGTCTCCAGTGGGCCACTATCACTATCTGAACCACGACAACAAACCTAACTAACCTAACTGGTATACTTGTGTGTTAGTCAAGGTTCCCTAGAAGGACAGAACTAACAGGAGATATATATATATACGGGAGTTTATTAAGTATTAACTTACACAATCACAAGGTCCCACAATAGGCTATCTGCAAGCTCGAGGAGCAAGGAGAGCCAGTCTAAGTCCCAAAACTGAAGAACCTGGAGTCTGACGTTCGAGGGCAGGAAGCATCCAGCATAGGAGAAAGATGTAGGCTGGGAGGCCAGGCCAGTCTCGCCTTTTCACGTTTTTCTGCCTGCCTTATATTCGCTGGCAGCTGATTAGATTGTGCCCACCAGATTGAGGGTGGGTCTGCCTTTCCCAGCCCACTGACTCAAATGCTAATCTCCTTTGCCAACACCCTCACAGACACACCCAGGATCAATACTTTGCATCCTTCAATCCAATCAAGTTGACACTCAATATTAATCATCACAACTTGTAACAACTCTTCTTCCTTTTCACCCACTTTCTACATGGCAGCAAGCACATATATCCCGTCGATTCCATGACTGTATCACTCTCCGTTGGTTTCCTCTTGCACCCTCAGGATTAAGCCAATATCATCAATACAGCTTTCAAGGTTTTCCCTGGTCTGGCCAGCCCATGCTGCCTTCTTCGTTCTTAGAATGGGCTGTGTGTACGCCCACTGAGGGGCTTTGTTGTGTCTGGGATCCCCCTTTGCCTAGCTAGCTCTAACTCTTTTCTCCATCTCAAACACTTTTTTCAGGGATGCTTTCTCTGAATTTCCAAGATAGGCCGAGGCTGCCCTGTTAAGACTTCCCAAACCCCATCCCAACACTAATCACACCTGCCAATTCCTTGCTGGGTACATCTCAGTGTTGCCCACTGGGACCGTGTCTGCCTGCTACCACTGCCGTACTTCTAAGTACCTAGTGAAGTGGCATTCATCAAATAATCTCCTAAATGGCTAAACCAGGAACATAATGATAATCACAACTGAATTGCGACCTTTTATTCCATACATTTCCACTAAAAGGATAATTCTAAAGGCCAATTTCACGAAGAGAAAATCACGTTAAGAGTCTCACATAACTTTTTATCTTACTCTTTCTTAAAAAGGTAAACCGAATATGGCATACAAGAGGTGTGAGGGCATCATCTCATGGAGAGCTGGTATATATTTACACACAATTTCTGGGGATCAGTTGTGGTGCTAAGTGATACTTTAACACTCGAACACTTCCTAGTAACCCAGCACCATTCAAGAATATTGCTAAAGAGGAATAATGGGGTGCTACAGGCTCGAGGGGAGCATCCTTCACCATTTCATCTACATAAACTGGTGCTCTCCAGGCTGAGGGGACAGATCTGACAGTCCGTGGAAAGCTGCTCTTGCCTACACTACCTCTGAGGGTACATTCAGCCTCCACATCTTTCATCCAGCCAGGGGCTAAAGAGAGCAGATCAATTACAAGAGCTTTAGGAGAGTTCCCTGAGGACAGGCAGTCAACAAGAACAGATCAACCTCAGGACACCAGGACCTGGCTTGACACTGTCCACAGTCTTACCTCTAGATAATTTTTCCTTAAAAAGGGGAGAGAAATGAGGCCCCACTAAGTAACAAAAACATATCGTGCAGTTGTTTGGGGGCAGTGTCATTCTTCCCATTAGCATCAGCACTTGGTCTTCAAGTAACATTATCTCCATGCAAAACACAGAGAAGCAAAGGCTTCAGAAATAAAACCATAGAGAGTATGTGTGCAGACCATGCACTTGGACCATTATCTGGGAAGGTGCTCAATGGTATCCCCACCACCCAGCATGGTTCTGAGGTTCCCACCACTACCAGTCTGTGCGTGCTCAGGGGAAAACATTAATTTTGATATTAATAGGCAAAAAAAGGGGGACATAAATGTTAGATCTCAAAAATCATTTAGAAATAATCTTGCATTTTCTTAATAGGCCTTTTCTACTGTATCATCTCACCTCTTTCAATAAGCAGAAACCAACAGTTCTTCAGATGGAGCATGGTTTAAAGTTTAAAATACTGAGACAAAAACACTAACAATTCAGTAAGTGCTCTCTTTCCTCATTCTTCTTCTTCTTCTTTTTTTTTTTTTTTTTTTTTTTTTTTGAGACAGGGTCTTCTTCTGTCACCCTGGCAGGAGTGCAGGAGTGCAGTGGCATGATCTCGGCTCACTGCAACCTCTGCCTCCCTGGTTCAAGTGACTCTTCTGCCTCAGCCTCCCAAGTAGCTGAGATTACAGGTGCATGCCATGACACCCAGCTAATTTTATCTTTAGTAGAGACGGGATTTCACCATGTTGGCCAGACTGGTCTCAAACTCCTGACCTCAGGTGATCCACCCGACTCAGCCTCCCAAAATGCTGGGATTACAGGCATCACCCACCGTGCCTGACCTTCATTATTTTCATGGTGATGTCCTGGCAATGTTAAACAATGCCAGCAAGAAAATGCTCCTCCCCCAAAGCCTCTATTGGTCTAAATTCAAAAATGTTGCTGCAGTTGCCCCTGGATTTCAGGGGCACGTAGGATTGGAATGAGCACATTTTAAGTCTTCCCTTTACTACGCATCATATGACTACATGAGAGTTAATTTGGAGAACTCTCCAACACGTGCAGACTCAGGTAAAACATTTGTTTGAAGAGGGAGTTCCTCTGGGTTCCCCAGGACTCACATGACTAATAATAAACCACTGGTTGACATCTATGGACTACTTCATCCAACAACAGCAGAATATACTTTCTTTTCAAATCCACCTGCCTCAACCTCCCAAAGTGCTGGGATTACAGGTGTGAGCCACCACGTCCAACCTTTTCTCATTATTTTAACCGGCCTACCTGCTGCTACTTTTTGCTTCAATCATCAATATCTATCTTGGAATCATGGCTCTGCACCTCAGACCACAATTTTTAAATCTTTGATCTCATTGTCACCTTTGGATTCTGATCTACTATCTACACATTCCTGATCCCAGCACCATAACTGTGTGGGTTTCATTTTGATTCCGGCCTTGGTTACGCCCCCTGGTTGTTCCCCTAGTCCTGGCTGACACCTACATTTCCTTTAGTTCAAGGTGAGGCTGAAGTCCTTGTTTTCAGCCTTTCAGAATGTACTCTGTAAATGTGGAGGCTGTAGGTGGACTAGATTTAGGGGCTGAGTGTTTACAGACGAAAATGTTAAACTTTGAAAGCAGAACTAAGACTTGCCAGGGAAGACTGACTTCTCTGAAGAGAATGAAAAGATTCCCCAGGTAGAATGTTTCAGAAAGGAATAATTAAGTTAGTTCTGAAATAGAAGTAGTGTATAGGAAGATGAGTATAGGGCTGCCTGACTCAGTGAGGATGGACAGGAAAGAGAAGTTCATGGGCAGGGTCTCTAATTGGCCTTGAGCCAATCAAGGGTTACTTCAGTACTTATTTAAACTACAATTTAGTTGATGTGGGTATAAAGTCAAATTTGGGTAGGGACGTGCATCCATAGTGGATTTGCTTGTGAAATGATTAAAGTCTTCCCTATAATTAAGAGAAAGAAGGGTGTATGTTGGATATAAAAATGACAGCCTCGGCCGGACGTGGTGGATCACACCTGTAATCCCAGCACTTTGGGAGGCTGAGGAGGGTGGATCACCTGAGGTCAGGAGTTTGAGACCTGCCTAGCCAACATAGTGAAACCCCATCTCTACTAAAAATACAAAAATTAGCCAGGTGTGGTGGCACATGCCTATAATCCTAGCTACTCAGGAGGCTGAGGCAGGAGAATCGCTTGAACCTGGGAGGTGGAGGTTGCAGTGAGCCGAGATCATGCCACTGCACTCCAGCCTGGGTGAAAGAGTGAGACTCCATCTCAAAAAAAAAAAAAAAAAAAAAAAAAAAGCCTGGTTATGTTAGACTCCAAAATGACAAATGTGTACATTTTCGTTTAGGGAAAATGATTATTCTCTTCGTCTCATGGCGTCCTGGACAGGAGGCATCTCATTTAAATGTTAACCAAGGCAGAGGGGGGTCTTCCTGCAGTAATTTACGTCTGAAAGTAACACTCGGTAGAGGTGTAGTTGTTTCAAATTAAAAATTCAGCCTGTAGAAAAGGGTAGGACTGACGAATTATGACATCTGACAAATTAGCAGTTGACCGGATATTTAAGAAATCAGATAAAATAAATGGAAGTGGAATTTTTCAAATAAATGACTCATTTTTTAATTAGGTAAAAAGTTCAGCCACTCTTGGGTACTGTCCCAAGGCATAAGTGATAGGAAGATACCATCTTCAAGGTACTTACAGGCCATTACCGACCTGAACTAAAAATCAAACCTTTTTTTTTTTTTTTCTGGTGGTATTTTAATGATTCACTGTTTTCTTTAGCAGGAATATAGATTTAAAAATGTATTCTTTAAAAGTTTTAAGGCAAGGTCATACGAATTTCTCAGGGGAGGGAAACAGACAAAATAAATCCAAACCATCCTTGTTTCTCTGAAGTTATGTACCTGTAATTCACAAATTTAGCTACGTGCTATATGAATCAATGTATATTATCAGCATATATCAGCTTTTTGTGTAATTAAATGTCTGACTTACTGTACAAAACCGTGCTTCCTTTTGTCCTAAAGACACTCTTTCTCCTTTCCAACATCCACTCAATCAAAACCTGCACATTTGTTTCTTAAAAAAATGTTTTAATATAGAAAATTTTCAATATGTTCAAAATGAGAAAAGAATAGTAAAATCAACCCCCATAAACCCATTAGCCAGCTTTAAGGAATAGCTATGGCTCTAAGAGTCTATGAGTTTCTCATCTGACCCTCTTCCTGTGTGTGTAAGCTGACTTTATCCATGTGTATCCTATCTCCTTTGAACAAACCAAGCTGGGTTACACTCCAAATGTAAGGTTCTGTAGCTAATTTTATCAATGACTGGACAGTGTTCTTTTCTTACCATCCAGAGAATGTTTGCATCAAGACTCAGTTATTTAATCACGCACTTCACTACAGAAGAGAAAGGGGATCTTGGATGTCTAAACTAAACCCAAACTCAAATCTACCAGAAGTAGCTGGTAGTACATTCGTCTGTTCACTGGTCTAAGTTCACACATGACTGGGCTTTTATAATTATTTCTAACTCAACTTCCCAATCTAAATCACAGAACTTTTTCTGCTAATGTACTCGGATCTACCCCTTAGTCTTCCATTGAAAAATAACTTGCCGGAGCTACCTAATTTCTGCCTATCAAATTCTCTATCTGATGTGCTGCCTTTTGTAAGTATTATACCATCACCCCAATCCTGGAGCCAGCTACTGAGAGCAGCTTCTGAAAACCTCTCCTGTTTCAACACAGCATTTCTCTCAGAACTGCAAATAAAGTTCACAACATTTCTCCCCAGTCAGTGTCTGCAGCCCAACACTCCAATGTTAGACCCAGCAGCCCTGCCGGGTGTTGAAGTATCTCACAGACCCATCTCTGTTGGGCCACACTGCAATACCTGTTAGGCTGAGGACACTAAATCAAGATATGGTTTCAAAGAGGACTTGTGCTTTTTTGTTGCTACTTCTGCCCTGAAGACCAAGTGTAAGGAGATATTCTCTTATAGCCTGATTTATGTTCATTTACAGAGCTGTCTTTGTGGGGGAATACAGTAACATCCAGACTGCTGAGCAACTGTGTGTTAAACATTCAAAATGGAATCAATTGTATAGTCAAGAATTAACAGGAACTTACAAGTCTGCATTATTTGACCCTTCTCCTGAACTTTATTTTGGCATTGTGCTATAAGCTGGTGTCATGGAAAACTATCAAACTACCCAAGGACTTGACATCCTATTTCCTTGTGAGTGTACTGCTGATGATGCTGTCCACGGCACTACCATGCTTTTTAGGATGAGCCACTGGAGAAAGTATCCTCAGCTCTGACCATCAAGAAAAATCATTCTTCTGAGTTACTAGCCGATCGTACCCCACGGCGCTGGCTGTCTTTAATGGCAAGCTCTCTGTACTGACTACAACGATTTCGAGGCAAATCATGACCTACCTCTAACAAGAGTAACGGACTGCATTGCACACACTTTGAGAATTATATTAAGCTCTATTTTGTGTCTCATATCCTTATTTTGCTATTCTCCGATTTATTTAATTTATCTTATTTTATTTCACGTATTGTGTGAGCAGCCCCAAGTCCTTTTCGGAGCAATGGGAAGTGTAACTAAGATGTAAGTATACTGATAAGGTGTCATAATAAGCTCTGAGGACACAAAACTGGATAGAGCCATCTCTGCTACAATAGAGGGACGTTCACACGGACATCTAAAGCATAAAGCAGTGTCACATAAACAGTCCAATGTGCCATTATTTCAAGGGGGAGATGCTACCATTCCAAGGTGACTGAGAAAACTTTTGAGCTGGGTTTTGAGAGATAAATAGGTATTTCACAGGTAGAAAAAAGAAGGACTGTCTCTAAGAAGAGAAGACAGAAGAACTAGGAAAGCAGAGTGAGGCAAATTTACACAATGGTGAGTTCCAGCTGAGAAGACACACGCAGCGGGGTCAAGAGTCGTGCAGCCGAGACGGCAGCCCTGCAGCAGACGGCCTTCACCATTATCATCCACAGATCCTCGCTGGGTAAGAGGCTAGGCCCGAAACCACAGAGCATAAAACTATAATGAGGCGTGAGCTTCGCTCTCAAGGGCTGTACCACCCATGGTGCAGTGACAGGAAGCACAGGAAGTTATAACCACATGTACACTTGTAATGAGAGTTTTACAAATAGGGCTTAGGATAGAAGAGTTAAGGTCAGCTCTTTCTAGAAGGGAGGATTTGAGCTGGCCTTAAAAGCAGGACTAAGACAAGCAGAAGGTAAGGATGACTGTGTTATAAGTAGAGACATTAGCCAGAGTTTTGGGGTAGGGGAATGATATTATAATAGTTTCACTGGAAGACAGGGTTCATGAAAATGTGGGCTAATTAGAGGATTTTGATTTAGTGTAATATTATGATTTATATTATCACAAGGAAGGGCTTTATTCTGCTTTGTTTAAAACAAAGGATGAAAAGAACACAGAGTAAAATTATAAATGTATTAAGTGGTATTTCTGAAAGACGAAACTGCTAATTATCATGAGGGATGAATGGGAATGGGAGAGATGTGGGGCCATTTGGGAGGTGCAGTGATAAACGAAGCCCAGATTAAGATGGTAGCCTTGGGACTGGAGAGAAAATGCATAGAAAACAGTAAGAGCCAAGGGAGGAGGAATTCCCATGCTCCACTGACTCATCCCAGAAGACAGAGGAGGAGACAGCTTGCTACCGAGACAGGCAGGCTGCTTACTGCTTTGAGGAGGATTCTGAGGCTACGTCCAGACCCTGCAGGAAATTATACCCTATTAGATTACTAATGCTTATGATGAACAAGGCATGAGGGCAGGGTGACTCATGCTACACAGCTGCCACCTCTGTGCTAAGGAATGGAGAAGAGGTGAGTTTCAAATGAACCTGCAATGTAGGCACTAAACTAGGCAGATGAGGTCACGGAGATGTGACAAGGACAAAGGCAAGGCATTCTAATTCAGAGTTCTTGACATCACGTCTACTACAGGAATGCCCTAAATGCTTGCTAAAGAAATGAAACAACGATTTCAGTTTGATCTGCAAAATTTGTTTGCCCTTTGATTTGAAACACTGACCACATCATGCAGCTAAAAATACTCCTCAATTTGGGATAATGTTTCAATAAGCCCATCATAAACTGAATGTGTGGGTTTTTTTTTTTGTTTTTTTTTTGAGACGGAGTCTCTCTCTGTCACCCAGGCTGGAGTGCAGCAGTGCAATCTTGGCTCACTGCAACCTCCGACTTCCAGGTTCAAGTGATTCTCCTGCCTCAGCCTCTGGAGTAGCTGGGATTACAGGTGCCTGCTAACACGCCCGGCTAATTTTTGTATTTTTAGTAGAGACGGGGTTTCGCCATGTTGGCCAGGCTGGTCTTGAACTCTTGGTCTCAGGTGATCTGCCTGCCTTGGCCTCCCAAAGTTCTGGGATTACAGGTGTGAGCCACTGCGCCCGGACCTGAATGTGTGACAGTATTTTCAATGTACGATGAGTTTATTGAAAGTATCATAAATGCCTATTGTTTTCATGCCATTTTAAAGTCAAAAAAATCATTAAGGTGAGCCATTCTAAGCAGGAGACTGTTTGCAGTTGCTTTGGTCAAATAAGAAAAATTAAGAGCCTAGCACAGGGCCAGGCACACACAGTGGGCATTCAATTCTTTTTAAAATGACCACGTGAAGGAATGGTCTCTGCTTTGAAGATGCTCCCCTTCAAGCCTCACTAAGTGAATGGAGGCCATCACCTTCTATATTTTAATATAGACTATTTTTTGATACATTCCCAACCTGTTCCTGGGCCAGCAATCATGCATGGGGTTACTTGCCTATTAAACAAGCCATTTCTCCTATCCCTTGCTCAGCTCGAAACCAGTTTGAAATCTCATCCTTGAATATTTGTGTGCAAGGTTCCCAAAGTCCTCCTGGTGCCCCAGTGCAATAGGCTAATTGATCGCCTCACATATCAGTTGAGCACAAATGCCCTTGATCACGAGGCTCTCTGAAGGCTGGAGAGAACGCTTCCAAACAGAGTGGAATCCTGACGGACAGTCCCCTCCCCACTCCGAGGTTCGGAGGGCTCTCTCTTCAGTTTCACGTCACTGAGGGCTGCCAGCTTTTAGGTGGCGAGAGGGAGATGCCATGAGGGAAATTCCCCTTCAGCCAGTTTTCCAGAAATAGCCTTTAATGTTTAAATTGGTTTTAACTAGGGAAAAGATATGCCTTAAGAAAAATTCATAAGTAGGTTCTAAAACTTCGAACACAAAAAATATTTGACTTACATGATAAACTGGAAACCTCTACGAATTTCAGTCTAGGCCAGGTATTAGCAGTAAAGCTGGTTTTCTAACCAAATTAGTGGTATAAAAGGATTAGCCAGATAAAAAACTTTTTTTTGGCCTCTCAAAGGAGTTTATTTCATCAAGAACAGCTTCAGTGTAACATATATAGTGTTCTAGTCCAGAGAAAGACACGGGACTGATATTACACATTTTTGCACTTAAAAAAAATCACTTAGGTAGTGCCTTCTATGGCATTTAATATGCTAATTATAAATGATTCTCGTACACTATGATTCAACTTAATTAGGCAAAAATTTTTAAACTTTAAAAATTGTGTTCTCAAGGTAATTAAATCCCACTTAAAATCATGTACAATGATTCTAACTTTTACTAACCTTTTTTTCTCCTGATTTTTCATAATCAGTGGGTTTTTGAAAATAATTATGGTTGGGTTACAATGTGTCTTTTACATTTACCACATAAATGATAAAAACTAAAACCTATTTAAAAGTATTTGTTTTTTAGCAGCTGTGTTTCTTTCTTACAATAAGTAATCAAGCACCTACTGTGTGCCAGGCTATGGCCCGGGCACCCACGCTCCCCCTGAGCTTCAATTCTGTGGGCTTTCCCAGAGATGGCGAATGGAGGTGGCAAGTGTGAGCCCAGAGCAGGGAAGGGCACGAGGAACCCATGCACCAGACAGACAGCATTCCAACAGAAGGAGCCAAACGGCAAGTTTACAAATAAGAATAAAACTGCATTTTAGGAAACACTCCTTTTGCAGAAAATTGGAAAAGTATTTGCTTTCCCGAACATTTTACTTCATAAGCACAACAATTAAAAAACTCAGAGTTTCATGAGTTCAATGTAGAAACAGTGCTTATGTAAATAATAACTAGAATCAGTAACTTACTAAAAAAAACTAATATTTGACTTTTGTGAGTGAAGGCAGATGCAACGTGGGTTTACTGAGCTATAACTCTTCTTCACGGGAGAAAATCTTGTTTTGGTTCTTAAATTCAGGTTAATCAGTGGCTTAGATTTAAGTAACACAAGCATTGTTTAAAAGCTTGATTTCTCGTAAAATGTAACTGCTGTTAAAGGCAGTTTATTTGTGCTGTCATTGCTGACGGATGAAGCTTCCTCAAATAGAGAAATGATTTACATAGAAGGTATACTTTTGCTTTAACTGATCGAGTTAGGTAAATGTCAGATTCAAGACTCATTGACAAAGTCAATCGGCAGCATTTATTCAGTGCCTAAAATATCAGGCAGCTGATTGTATCCAAGAAAGAAACAATGGAACATGAGAATCATAGTTGATTATTTCTCCAATTTAGCACCTTACTTTGGTTTGGAAAAGATGAACATTAGAATTAACGTCCCATCTTTCCTATAAAACTGAAAAAGTAATTTATAATGCTTTTTTTTTCTTTCTTCCTTTTAAAGGAGACAGGGTCTCACTACATTGCCCTAGCTGGTCCCGAACTCCTGGGCTCAAGTGACCCTCCTGCCTCAGGCTTCTGAGTAGCTGGGACTATAGGTACACACCACTACACCCAGCTATCATGTTTATTTTAAATCTAACTATATTCACATAGAACACGAGTTCCCTAAGGCCAATCTCATACCTAGTATATAGCAATTTAAATGAAAAAAGCAAAAACTGCTTCATTAATCTATCTGATGAAATAACAGACTTCCCACTTAACTCATTTCAAGGAAAGTCAAGTCATTTACTTGGCTCTGCTGCCCATATAGGTAAATTGAGTTCTGAATCAACAACTGGGAAGGCACCTTATATTACTGAAAAAATGTCTTCACCGAATTGACCCCTTCTGAATCACAGGAGGGTGAGCGTTTTGTGTGTGTGTGTGTGTGTGTGTGTGTGTGTGTGTGTGTGTGTGTGTGTGTGAATCAGGCCCTTTAAAGGAACATTTAGCTTGGAAATAAAGTCATAAAAACTGAAGGGTAATTTTGAAATGAGTTTTTAAATTAAAAAAATTATGTGTACTCATAAGAACGTGCAGCAGTCATCACTGCTGAGCAATTATGTGCCCTGATTTAAGCACTTTACATGTATTGTTTATTCACAAATATCCTATGGGATAGGCATTATCATTCTATTTAAAAAAATAAAAATAAAATAAAATGACAGAGACAGAAGTAACTCGCCAAGGGTGAGATAGCTGTCAATGGTGGAGCTGAGATCCGAGTGCAGGCAGCCTGGCCAGGCTCTGTAATCACCACACGGTAAAGACACTGTATGTGCCGACACTGAGGACTCTGTACTTAAGTTTTTACTAAAACCTAGAGATCTTTTTCATAAAATCCACGGCTGAGCCAGTTCCCTCCCATCTTGTGAGCATAAAATTGTTTTAAAAACCTAAAGGAAAGCTTTATACTCAACCCTTTAATAATTCATAGAGGCGGCTGAGTGTCAGCAGCAACTCCCAAAATTAAACACGGAAAAGAAGCCTTCAAAAGATAACAGAAAAATAAGGATTAAAAAAATACTATTTTTGATAATGCTATCAAAAATAATCATTAAGCACAATAAAGTCAAAACAAGAGAAGCTTTCTGCATTCAGATGTAAGAACCAATGTGTTTTAGAAACTTTTCTTCTCGGCCGCACGTGACGACTCACGCCTGTAATCTCAGCACTTTGGGAGGCCAAGGCGGGCGAATCACCTGAGGTCCGGAGTTTGAGACCAGCCTGGCCAACACAGCGAAACCCTGTCTCTACTAAAAATACAAAAATTAGCCGGGAATGGTGGCGAGCGGCTGTAATCCCAGCTACTTGGGAGGCTGAGGCAGGAGAATCACTTGAACCCAGGAAGCGGAGGTTGCAGTGAGCCGAGATGGCACAACTGCACTCCAGCCTGGGCAAGAGAGCAAGACGCCTTCTCAAAAAAAAAAAAAAAAAAAAAAAAGAGCTTTTCTTCTCTATTGTTCTCCCAGTTACAACTGAAGTTCACAACAGGAGCAAAACTGAAGGCAACTCATTTGTGTCTTAAAAACGCAATTATTTCCAATGTGAAATTATCACCTGAATTACAGATGACCTGAATTACAGATGACCTAGCAGGAATATTCTATGTAGCCCTGGGGAAGCGGAGGGGTGTAGAGAAATGCTATAAACTGCAGGGCCTCTCCAGAGTACAGCCCTGTGGTCTTCAGCCAGAGGCTACTATCCAGATCAAAGTTCCTGTAAGGCACAACCTGTGGACTGTGAGTGGCAAAGTAACAGCTTCCAGGAGCCTTTTGTTTCTAGGGAAGCAGCTTCTTCTAGTGAGTGCAAGGAATTTAACAGTGAGAAGGCATAAAAGGAAAAAAAAAATAACATTATTAACGCCTAAAAAGTGCGAGGGAAAAACTTACGGAGGTATTTACTAAACAAAGATGTCTGTGAACTATCTACTTCAAAAAGACAAAACATGGTTCTCAGAGTTCTAATGAAAATGGTACCATTTAGATTTGGAAGTAGAGACGCATAACATATGCTTGCAGTTCGCATGTGGAAATAATCAGCCTGACTGATTTTCAATGAAATCTCACTTACATTTAAAGCAGCTTCTCCACACTTTTCAATGGCTGCAAGACCCTGATTATGAATGTGTGTCTCCAACAGTTTTTTCAATTCTCCTAGGCCATCCTGGATTCTAGATACAAGATTATACATGCGTCCCAAATCTGAAAGAGGAAGAAACCCCTTTTATGCACTGAAAAAAATTTTGCATATCCATTCTACTAATTATGTATTTATACTGAGATGAAAAATACTCTGCAAAAGATAACCATGTTTTTAGACTTTAATAATCAATAGCATTTAATTATAACCAAATATTCTCTATTTGGTATATGTATATTTTGCTAAAAGTAACAATGAAATTGTTACTATTTACTATAAATTTACTATTGTAAATTTATTTTCCCCCTTACTGTGAGAAACCACTAACTTAAGACTAAGCAAAAAAAAAAAATTATCAGAAACAACTCTAATGCTTCCTAAAATTCTCAAGATTGAAATAGTATTTATGCCTGACACATAATAGGCACTCAAATATTTGTTTAAAAATAATGAATACATTTAAGGAGAATATGGATTTCTATCTCAATTATAAAAACAAATGAGTTGAGAAAAGGTCTCCCAAATTGATTTAAGACGTGTATACAGCATGTGGTTACTTTAGGAGGACCATAGAAGAAAAATCCAAACTTCAATCTTTTATTGAGCTCCTAACATGCCCCAGTAAAACATGGGAGTGGTTAAGGGAAATATAAGATGACAGTCTCCTCATCTCAGAGAATTTTCAAAGGAAGAACAGTCAAGAAAAAACTTGGGGTAGCATCATTTAATGCTAAAGTGTATGGAGCAAGTCATATTCTAAATACACTCTTCCCCCTAAGTCAAACCAAAATGCTCTGCAGAAGTCTGAAATTGGCACATAACGATGTACAAACACATGCATCTTTTTAAAACTGACATGGGCAAGTAATGCCGTTGACTCGAGAGTCTAGAATCAAAAGCAATATCAAAACTACAGATAATTATAAATACCTACATTTTATGAGTCTTGTGGCTCACCTTCATTTTTGTCAGCATCCAATAAATTCTGAAATTCTGTGTGGAAAATTTCCAAGTGTTTTTCAATGAGGACTTGTTCACATTTCCTTGCTAATTCATCTTGTGTGCTTTCATGAAGGTAAACCTGAACTCTTCGTTGTTCCTCAAGCAGACGAGCCTCTGCCTGGAGAAAATTAATTCAAGTGAATGGTTTTGATTCATTGGTAAAGAACTGTTACAATTCTTTAATATGTAAATTAAAGGAAACTGAAAAATGGCAAATTAAATTCACATGCCAGCTCTAATAAAATGCGATTAAGAAAATAAGGGAGGGCTGGGCATGATGGCTCAGCCACTTTGGGTGGCTGAAGCAGGAGGATTGCTCGAGGCCAGGATTTTGAGACCAGCCTGGGCAACACAGTGCGACCCTGTCTCTAAAAAAAAAATTAGCCAGGTGTGGCACGCGCCTGTAGTCCTTCCTAGCTACTCAGGAGGCTGAGGCGGGAGGATGGCTTGAGCCTAGGAGTTAAAGGACATAGTAAGCTATGATTGTGCCACTGCATTTCAGCCTGGGCAACAGAGCAAGACTCCGTTTCTCAAAAAACAGAAAGAAAAAGGAAAAAGTTCTTTGATTTTACGGTAAACAACAACCATATTTAAACAGCCACTGATGTCTGCCATTTTCTCTGTAATACGTATTTCCATTTCAAACTTCCTTTTTAAGTGCCCTAACAACATCATCGTTATTAACAGTTAACATGTCTTTACATCATTTTGATCCCTCAGAGAATGGTATTTTATCTTTTTGAGGTAATGTCTCTGCCACTCTAAGAAATGAATGCATCTTCTGTGCAGATACTAAGATGTGGTACTTTAGATTAAAAACTACTTGAAGCCAAGAGTCACACAAATATAAGCCCTGAAGTGATTACATGGAAATCATCATCAGAAATCAGACTGTTCAAAAATTTAGAGAGAAACTATTAAATTATCAAAGCAAGGAAGAAATTTCAATAAATTATTCAGGTGATCTGAGTAAAGAGAATTATATTTTGCATTATAAAAATGCCAATACTCTCCAAAATGATTTTTGTTTTAAATATATTTTTTTCAGAGACAGGATCTTGGCTCTGTCTCCCAGGCTGAAGTGCAGTGGCACAATCATAGCTCACTGCAGCCTCAAACTCCTGGGCTCAAGTGATCCTCCTGCCTCAGCCTCCCTGTGCAGCTGGGACTACAGGTGCATGCCGCCATACCCGGCTAACTTTTTAATTTTTTCTAGAGACAAGGTCTCACTATGTTGCTCAGGCTGGTCTCAAACTCCTGGCTTCAAGCAATTCTCCTGCCTCGGCTTCCCAAAGTTCTGGGATTATAGGCTGTCCAGCTACCGTGCCTTGCCCAGATTTTCAAATTTGGTATAATTTTGGAGAAATCTGGAAAAATTCAACTGGTAATGAATCAATACTCAAGAGCCAAGAAAAAATAAAATGAAAAAATGATTAGGCGGGACTTGTACTATCAAGAACTAATAATAATGGGACAACTGTTTAAACCACGTAAGTCAGAACCTTATTACACGTTCTAAATAGCTAAATGTGAAAAATAAACTTGGAAAATATCTGCAGTATGTATCAAAAGGTCAATATTCTTAATACATAATGATCTCCAGCAAAGCAGTGAGTACAACCAAATAAAAACACAAGGAAGAAAAGACAACTCATAAATGAAGAAATAGAAAAAAGCTTGAAGTTAATACATTTCCAATAAGAGGCAGTTATTATATGTTCAGTTAATGAACTATGATTACCCACTAAAATAAACACCAACTACTAATAACAAATCATTAGTGAACAAGTTACGAAAAACCTATACCATGATTCCAATGTGGTTTATATAATCAGCAACAGTGCCCCAGGCTTGTAGGTTTATGTTATTTGTATTTTCCAAAAAGTCTACAGTTAATGTGTAATTTTGTTTTTCTGATTATAAAGATATTTTAAAACAATAAATGCTGCTTTATATCTAATGTTCCACTAAGACTGATAACTCAAGAACCTAAAGCTGGTGGAATATAGAACATGCAAACCAAACAGCACCACTTTTTCTGTTTTAAGTTATAACTCTTTCTTGGAAGAACATAATCATCTCAGGCAGCAAAACATAGTTTTACCCCTTCCGAGATGAAAGATTAGGCTTTGATGCCATTCCTGATTCATCCTCTGAGAGGCACGGCTCTCCACCTCTTAGTCTACAGACCCTTCCTGCAGGGGCTGAGGGGGCAGGAAGAGTGAACAGGTGCCTAGGTGATTACAGAAACATTCATGGCCAAGGGGCCTCAACACTAGCTTATTTTATATATTGGCAAGGAAACCAAGGTCGTAGGTATTGTCATCAGGTTTCAGAAAGGACAGCCATTTAGGTTCTCTAATGATTCCAAGTCAAATAGGCTCCTGATCATCACTGTACTTGGCAGACTGTTGTATTAGAACACCAAGGTCAAATTCAAATGACTAAATAAAAGTATGCAATTAAAGATGGTCTTTATTAATTCACTAGGATCGGTTCTCAGTAAAAACAAAAGGAAAATAAAAACCAAAAAAGACAAGCAAATTAATGAAGTATGGTATATTTTTAAAGTTTTTAAAAAATGACATTAGAAACCTACAGTAGTCATACAGAGTTTCTGTAGCTCAGATCAGTCTCAATCGCATGAGACAGTCAAATCTTTTAGAAACACTAACATGGTTCACTCTTCAAAGCCATCCTTGGAAAGACAAGCCAAATATTCTTAGATGTTTCCTGTAAAACACTCCTAATAGAGAAAAGTGAACACAGACCCAGGGAATTTGAACTGCTCTCAACTGGCTAGAATTTGCAGAGTATTTCTTGAAGGGTCATGTTTTATCTCATAGTTGTTCTATTTCCTGATAGAATGTTTGTTGTAATGTAAACACAATTGCTCCCTAAGTTATTGAGTAAGATTTGCCACCCTTTATCCTGTGGTTTTGCATCCTCCCAGGCATACACTGGAGGTTTTGTGGGATGTATATTTGTAATACCAAATACATTAGCTTTGCTCTTTGCCACACACCAATCTAAGCACCTTTTAACAAATAAATACCTCATGTTAAAATTTGTAAATACTAAAGCTCACTTAATCCTCATTATTACCTATTATTATTATTCACATTTTACAGATAAGGAATTTGAGGAACAGAAGCATTAAGGTCATCCCCCTAATAAATGGTGGGGTGGGGATTTAAAAATAGACTCATAGCTCAGTTTGAGATGCAAGGCTATAGGATGAGAGCAGAATTACATGGTCAAATTCCAGTTTTATGCTTATAGACTCTCTGCATTATCATCTTTCAGAATATGATGGAAGTCGTGTTTGGTGTGATCCAAGTGGATCCGGGCCAAACCTTTAACTCTTCTAGAAATGAATCCCCTCTATGGGAACCAGGATGTAGGAAGCACACTGCTTCCTTGAAGGCGGGCCTCATGCTGGATTGAAAACATCGAGGCCATTGGAAATTCTTGCTCCTCAACCGTCTTTGGTGTCAGGCCTGGTTTTATTTTTATTTTTATTTTTTTTTTTGAGACAGAGTCTCACTCTGTTGCCCAGGCTGGAGTGCAATGGCGCGATCTCGGCTCACTGCAACCTCCGCCTCCCAGGTTCAAGTGATTCTCCTGCCTCAGCTTCCCAAGTAGCTGGGATAACAGGCGTCCGCCACCACACTTGGCTAATTTTTGTATTTTTATTAGAGAGAGGGTTTCACCATGCTGGCCAGGCTGGTCTCGAACTCCCGACCTCAGGCAATCTGCCCACCTCGGCCTCCCAAAGTGCTAGGATCACAGGCGTGAGCCACCGCGCCCGGCCTAGGCCTGGTTTTAAAAACAGATTTACCTGTTCTGGGAGTGCTTCAGTAGCTCTGCCCTAGAACACTGGTTTCCTTGCCCTAGAGCACTACTACTTCATCAGTGTGGACAAAGGAGATGACCACAATCCTCTAATAAACCCATAAAAAGAACAGGCTCGCGCCACTGTCGTGGATGTGCATCTGGATAAGAGGTCTTTGGGATATATAGTTTTAAAAGAATCACCATATACAGCAGAGTTTCATAAGAGAAGTGTTTAGGAATACAACACTGTCATATTAAACAATGAAATAACAGGCAATGTTAACGTTTAAAACAGACTGTTTCAAAAGTTCATTTGTTAGGCAGTTGTTTGAAACTCTGGGTGAGCTGGTTAGGTTCCAGATTGGCATAGGAAAGTCAATTTAGCCCACCATTATACACAAGGAACCATTAATATTCCAAGTATAATACCCCGAATAGTTCCATTTTTGTTAGATTTTGAGATAGCAGAGATTTGTCAAGGACTTTCAACTTCAAACTTCTAAGCCCATTTATAACCACTATCTCCTATAGGAAAATGCATTCAGGTCACCACAAACAAACCGGATAGGACTTTCTCTATGAGGTTAGAGCAGAGCTGTTGCTTTTAATTGACTTTCTATCTCAGCATACGGAAAAGAGATTCCGCAGTCCATTCATACTCCAAGTGAACAGGGAATACAGGGCAAGCAGGTGTCAGGCTTGGAAAGATCCAGACTCCTGGAGATCTCCTAGTACAAGGATCCTCAATCGCTGGCTGTGGGCCAGTATGGGTCTGTGGCCTGTTAGGAACTGGGCCGCACAACAGGAGGTGACCAGCATATGAGTGAGCATTACTACCTGAGCTCCGCCTCCTGTCAGATCAGGGACGGCATTAGATTCTCATAGGAGCTCGAACCCTACTGTGAACTACACACGTGAGGGATCTATGTTGCACGCTCCTTTGATCTGAGGTGGAACAGTTTCGTCCCAAAACCATCCCCCTTCTTCCCCCAGCCACCGTCTGTGATGCCAAAAGGGTTGGGGACCATTGTCCTAGTACAGCTAGGTCAAGGGTCAGCAAACTGTAGCCTGTAGGCCAAATTCTGCCTGCCTGCCTTTTTCTGTAAATAAAGTTTTATTGGAACCCGGCCACACTCAGTTGTGTACATATCCCACTGGCTGCTTTGTGCTGCAATGGCAGAGTTGAACAGCTGCAAAAGAGATCACATAGCTCACAAAGCCTAAAGTATTTCCTTTCTAGCCCTTTACAAGATAAGTTTGCTGACTCCAGACCTAGGTCATTCCTTAGAGTCTAAATCCAGGATATCCATATTTCTTTTTCTTTTTCTTTTGAGACAGAGTCTCACTCTGTCACCCAGGCTGGAGGGCAGTGGCACAATCTCGGCTCACTGCAACCTCCGCCTCCCAGGTTCAAGCGATTCTCCTGCTTCAGCCTCCTGAATAGCTGGGATTACAGGCACGTGCCACCATGCCCAGATAAATTTTTTTGTATTTTTAGTAGAAACGGGGTTTCACCATGTTGGTCAGGCTGGTCTCAAACTCCTGACTTCAGGTGATCCACCCACCTTGGCCTCCCAAAGTGCTGGGATTACAGGCATGAGCCACCACGCCCAGCCAGGATATCTATATTTCTAAGAAAGAGAACAAAGAGTAATTCTACTAGATCTTTATTATCAGCGGGCCATGGTTACTCACATCTGTAATCCCAGCACTTTCGGAGGCCCAGGTGGCAGGATCACTTAAGCCCAAGAGTTTGAGACCAACCTGGGCAACCTATCTCTACAAAAATAGCGAGACCCTATCTCTACAAAAATAAAACAATTAGCTGAGTGTGGTGGCTCACGCCTCTAATCCCATTACTTCTGGAGGCTGAAGCGGGAGGACAGCCGTCCTCTCATATTAGAATTTAAAGCCTAGTTTCAGAAGAACTTTTCCTCTAATATAATCATGAAAGCTATGTAATAGATTCTTAGGGATATTTTAGAAGCAAAAAATTAAAGTTTGCAAATCTGAAAATATTTGTTTCTTAAAATTTTCTCATTGACATGACTGTGATGCCCATTTTATATAAATCCACATTCTACAATAAACAGTTAAAAAAAATTCATGTAGCTATTGTGGTTATATCCTTAGAACAGCAAGGAGAACTCTCAGTCACGATTACCAAATTAATTTATAGAAGCTCCTTGGAGAATTAGGAGAAGCACTTGCACCTGATAAAAACACTCTAGAAAAACAATGCCCAACAAATGACTTGTAAAGAAAGCTGTATATGCTAAAAAGAACTCACTTGAGTAGCAATGACTTTAACTTAAGTCTACTTAAAGTACTATATTTAAGCTTACCTTTTTCATATATTCAGTAACTGGGTTCTGCTGCAAGAATTCAGTACTCTCTCTGGTATAAAATCTCTCTGTGTCAGCCAAAAATTGAGATTCAAAGGATTCTTTATACACTGTTAACGTAGGGCCCTTTGCAAATGCATCATCTTCATTCAGCCCCAATTCCACTAGAAATGAATATGAGCTATATTTCAATTACCCTATTTTTTTGGTTATATTTCACAGAATATACTTAGGTGTAGCATTCAGTTTAAGTTATGTTTAAAAGGTAAATGTGAAATGGCAGGACATAAGTAACTCTTACTCACTAGTATTAAAGTACACTCTTTCAATAAAATAAAAAAGGAAAAAAATCCAAGACGTATAAAAAGCAAGTAATTCTGACCCATGGCCAGGTATGCTTCAAAATTATGAAGTTCCTTTAGAGAACTTTTGTATTTCCAAAAGCAATAAAAATAACTAATTTTAAATTTGCAAAGAAATACAATGCTACCCAAGTTTTTAAGACATTGTATTACTTTATCAGTTTCTCAATCTCAATTTTTCAAGCTGATATAGATTTCTGGTTATCATTGAGCTCACACTCTAACATATCCAGTAATTCACTATGAGACCAGAAAAGAAAATAATCAAAATGTCTATTTCATCAAAATTTCCTTAAGGCACACGGATCAAACAGCTTTTATGATGGATAAAAACAAATAAAGTCACACTGACTTAAAAAGAAATGTAAGTACCTTCGTAAATGCTAACAATATCCTTTATAATATTAAAATATTTTAAAAATGACATCTGTTAGAGCATTGTTGTAATTGCCATTTGATGTGAAAACTTTGAATAAACTAAAGGGAAATTATTTACCGTAAGACTGTACAACTCCACTAATCAATCTTGTATTGATGGTTTCACCATTCCTTTCCTTTTCAATCAGCTTTAAAACAGCATTTGTTACCTTTAGAAAGGATGTAGAAAAATATTACACAGGTTATAGAATATGATATATATTACTACATATCCCTTAAACATTCACAGCCACTAAACAATGTAAGATGGGATAATCCGAAGGAGTGACGAGACAAAAGCTAAGCAACGAAACTGCGAAGGGATTTTAAAAGGAACATGCACACGCTCACACCAGTAGGTACCTGTTTATTCAGTGGCCTGAACAGACAGTCTCTCCAAGTCACCAATGCAAGCTGGAGAAAAAAAAGTACAAAATGTCTATACTTTTACCATGTTTTTCCAAGATTGAAGTCATAGGAAATAACCTAAATCTCAAATTACTTTATCAAAATTTCTAGATTACAAGTTGGTCAAAATCTGCTATCAGGACAAAAGCAGAAAGCCACTCTCTAGAGTCAACAACTTCAAGAGGTATCCAAGCACAGACATTTGTCAGCTCAACTTCTTTATTTACATTTTCTTTAACTGTTGTTGGAAACAGTATAGGAAAAGTTTAAAAACCGTAATGATTTTTAGGAGTCTGTGATGTTACTGTAAGGTACACATTTAGGTCAAGCAGGTTTCCAAAAGGAAATGAACCAAGACCATCCTGATTCCTACACTAACAACTTTTGAGTCTCAAGAAAGCATTTATATGTGAAAAAGAAAAAATCCCATTAGCCATTCCACAATATACACATATTTCAAAAAGGCATGGTGTACACATTTTTGTCAGTTAAAAAAATAAATAAAATGTTAAAGGGGAAGCACAAAAACCCCAAATCAAACAACTAAACCTAGAAAGTTTTGTTAGAACTGGATTAACTACATAGCAAAGTATCATTATGAAGCAATAACAATTTTGGTATAGAAACTGGAGCTATACAGACAATAAAAACTAGTCATGCATCTGGGATACATTATGCTTTTCTTTTTTTCTTGAGACATGATCTCACTCTGTCACTCAAGGTAGAGTCCAGTGGTACCACCATGGCTCACTGAACCCTCCACCTCCTGGGCTCAAGTGATGCTTCCACCTCAGCCTCATGTGTGGCTGGGACTATAGGTGCGTCACCATGCCTGGATATTTTTTTTGTAGGTCTCATTATGCTGCCCAGGCTGGTCTCCTGCCTCGGTCTCCCAAAGTGCTAGGATTACAAGCATGAGCCACTGCAACCAGCATTGTTTTTCTTTTAAATTTGTCAAAAGTGAAGCTACAAAGTACTGCTATTATAGCAACATTCTTGGATATGGTGATTAACTCCTTTATGTAGAATCTGACATTTTAACAAAACTAGTTTTAAAGGGCATTGTCTGTGTGGATCTGACAGCCTATGAACAGACTGTTCTGAGTCCTCCCTTAACTGCTCTAGAACACTGGTTCTCAAACTGGAGCATGCATCAGAATTGTCTGGAGAGCTTGGTAAAACATTGCTGGGCCCCATCTCCAGAGTTTCTCTTTAAGTCTAGGATGAGGCCTGAGAATGTGCATTTCTAACAAGTCCCCAGGTGATGCTGACAGAGCAGGTTTGGGGACCTGATATGGTTTGGCTATGTCCCCACCCAAATCTCATCTTGAACTATAGCTCCCGTAATTCCCACATGTTGCGGGAGGCACCCAGTGGGAGACAACTGAATCATGGGGGTGGTTCCCCCATACTGTTCTCATAGTAGTGAATAGTCTCACGAGATCTGATGGTTTTATAAGGGGTTTCCGCTTTTGCTTGGCTCTCATTCTGTCTTGCCTGCCGCCATCTAAGATGTGCCTTCTGCCATGGTTGTGAGGCCTTCCCAGCCACGTGGAACTGTTGAGCCCATTACACTTCCTTTGCTTTATAAATTACCCAGTCTCAGGTAGGTCTTTATCAGCAGTATGAAAACAGACTAATACAGGACCATACTTTGAAAACCAATGGACCAAAAAAACCCCTTTCATTGACTGAAGAAACGTATATTACTGAGGGTGATTTAGTAATTAATTAATTCAGGGTCCTCTCCATGAAGCAGCGTTTCCCAGACTCTAAAGCATGGGAGGGCTAATCCTCAGGGCTCGCCCTCAGGTATGGCACCTGATTTGCCTGGGACTACCAGGACTCAGGACTTTCAGTGCGAAAACTCAGGCAGTTCCAGGCAAACTGTGATGGTAGGGTCAGGTAATTAAAGAAGAAATTTTTAAAAAGCAAATGCAGAAATGGGCAAATTGTATTTTAGAACTCCAATTTACCCATTCTTCTACTTTCTTGCTAAAAAATATTTAAGTGACATTTATTGATAAAACAATGAAAATTAGTTTACTATTCTGAAAAAAGCTTAATATTTGCCTAGATTCTCTTGCTGAAAGACAATTTGCCATTAAAAAAAACAAAAACAAAAACAAATTTAAAACGTTTTAAAACAAAACTCTTACCGAATAGATTTCATATATTCCTTTTCGTCCTTCGTCACATTCACGGCGAACCCAATGTCTATTGAGGTAGGCACAAATTCCATTCAGCACTTTGCTTGAAAATCGATAATCTTCCCATTGTTGAGTGTAGAATTTCAGTACACTCTCATCCATCAAATCTTCTCCATCCTAAAAACAAGTTAACTAAAGCTTTAAGATGACTAATTTGTCACATTATAAATTAAAAATAACGGTGAATAACATCTACTGTATTAAAATACATTGACACATGTGATTTTAGATGGCTTCTTTAAATTATTCTGTATACAAAAACATGCTAATATATATAAACTCACAAGAATATAGTAAAATAATTCTTTCATCTCAAATTAAACTGGAACATTTTTCATGGTATTAAATATGCAAACACACTCAAAAAAAGTACCCTGAACATTTGATATGCGGGTAATTCCTTTTTATTAAGAAATATACCACAAAATCATCTGTATTTTTGATATTTGTTTAAAAAAAAATTGGCTGGGTACAGTGGCTCACACCTCTAATCTCAGCACTTTGGGAGGCCGAGGTGGGCAGATCACTTGAGGTCAGGAGTTCAAGACCAGCCTGGCCAACATGGTGAAACCCTGTCTCTACTAAAAATACAAAAATTAGCCGGGGCGTGGTGGCACATGCCTGTAGTCCCAGCTACTTGGGAGGCTGAGGCAGGGGACTCGCTTGAACCCAGGAGGCGGAGGTTGCAGTGAGCCAAGATCGCACCACTGCACTCTAGCCTGGGCGACAGAGCAAGACTCCGCCGCACCCCTTCCCAAAAAAAAAAGAAATCAACATGTCCTACTTAGCAATTCAGACAATGAGACTAATACTATTCAATTTTTACATGCATCTTCTTCCTTCTTTAAATTTACTTAAAAACCATAAAAACACTTTTTTGTGGTGATCTGTAAAAATAAGGTAAGTACAATAGTATAACAATATTTCAAGAAAATGTGCATTTACGAAAATTATTTTTATCCAGATTTCCACAACTTGAGTCACAAATTTTTATTTGAAGGAGACTAACCGGAATTTTTTTTCTTAGGGATTAATGGCATCTACAAAGTAAACCTTACCCTTTAAAAACGTTAATGGTACTGTATGGCAGCACTGCCATTTAGGTGTGTGCAGCAGAGAAGCACGAAAGAGGAAGGTGGGGGCAGGAGGGCTGCAGGAAGGGCTGGGGCGAGCCCACTGGCTTCTCTGAGCCTCAGTGTCTTCAATGAAAACTAAATGGCTACAACAGACTGGAAGCTCCACATGTATAAGGTACACGAGTGACCAAACAAGCCATGTAAAAACCGGATCATCTCTTGAGACAAATAATTTTTTGTTCATTTAAATTTAAATAATATGAAATGAACTTTAAAATGTAAAGCTAAGCTATTTTGGATGATGGTACTTGACCTTTTTAAAATGCAAAAATATCACTGATGGCATGGTCATCAACCTTTTTACTTAGCACAATATACTGTTTCTTACTTTAGTACTAAAGAATAATTAATTAATTACAACATTCACTTTATGATGTGTTGTGAATAAAAAGAACAGTGGCTTCAGCAAGACCTTAGAAACACCATTTGGGGAAGATGAAAATAATACACTAGTCACAACTTATGGCCAGCCAACTACATACAGTCTGTTAGCAAGATGTTTTAAAGTTTTCAATTAGCTTGCAAAAATAAATTAGGTAAAACAATTTTGCAGCATGCAGAATTTTTGCACATTGTGTAAATAAAAAATATTTAAAATATATACACAGAAGAGTTCCTGCAAATTTCCCTGGGGTCACAGTATAGACGTCTTCACTCTTTGACAGTGTAGAACCAGATGAAGGACCCACTTGCTCATCTTGTGGCTAGATACAAGGAGTCACACTGCCTTTGCTACAAAGGATGAAGACCAAGGAAGAAAAGGCGGGAGATGAAGGGGAAAAGACTCCACCACACTGCCCAACCAAAGGCTTGGAGTGGGAGGGACCTACGCTAGAAGGAAATGGATATTCACAGTGAAACTCATCGTAGTCACGAGCACAATTTCACAGCAGTTTTGAAATACACGTCATGGCCAGGCACTGTGGCTCACACCTGTAATCCCAACACTTCGGGAGGTGGAGGTGGAGGACTGCTTGAGCCCAGGAGTTGGAGACCAGCCTGGGCAACATAAAGAGACCCTGATTCTACAAAAGATTTAAAAATTAGCTGGGAGCTGGGTATGGTGGTACATGCCAGTAGTCCTAGCTACTCAGAAGGCTAAGGCGGGAGGATTGTTTGATCCCAGGAGTTGGAGGCTGCAATGACCTATGATTGCACTACTGCACTCCAGCCTGGGTGACAGAACAAGACCCTGTCTTAAAAAAAAAAAAGGAAAAGAAAAAAAGTACTTCATAACCATGTGTAAAGAGCAAGATCACATTTGAAAAACATGGTTTCCAAGACTGAATAACCTTACAATTATTTCTACACCTTGATAGGGAACACCACATTGGGTTCACAGTAAAATGCAGATAATTTGAATACATATTTGCTTTAAATGAAAAAGTTCATCATTTCTAACAACCAAATCCAAAATGGTTGGTAATTTAACGAAAGCACTATTATGCTAAAAGGTTATCAAAGCTTTCTAATTTTAAAAAACAGAAAGAGCTGGGCACGGTGGTGAGCATTTGCAGAGTCTCAGCTACTCAGGAGGCCGAAGTGGAAGGATCACTTGAGCCCAGGAGATCAAAAATCCAGCCTGGGCAACATAGTGAGATCTCCATCTCGAAAAAACAAAACCCTAGAATATAGTTTATGGTGATTTCATATTCACAGTAGGTAAAAGACTATGCAATAGCAAAACACTGTCACCTACGTTAGTGTCTAAAACAGTAACAGATGACAGTGAAAGATTTAACAAGTTAGAACCATTATTTCACTTTTTTTATATCCTGTTATGAATACTCAGTATATATATAAAACATCTTACCTTAAGAAGATTTGTCAAGTAATTCTTCAAAAATTCCTTAAGTCGTTTATATAATTCCAGGCCAACAAACTGAGCTCCTCCAGGTGTCTGCCCCTTTTTCGACTTAGAAGGAGGAACTCCAGCTCCTCGTGCTTGGTTTGACTGGTGAACACTAGTACAGTAGTTATAAACATGACTTGGAGAAAAGTTAAGGAAACCAACATATATCACAGACGTTAACGGTCATTAACATAAACATATTTTCTTATATTTCATTACCAATGCATTCCCAATATATCAACCAAAACCTGTTAAAAACTAGAATGGAACAAAGATCCCATTCACACTATCCATAAAGCTAAAAGTCAACAAGCCCCATTCACAAGGTTGTTGGTAGGCCTTGAGAGCAACACCGCCAAGGTGGAGAAGGGAACATTCCAGGAGGGAGGTTGCCTATAAAAAAATCTGGACCTTTTAGATTATCTGATGTGACTGACCTTGTGGAAAACTGTCCCAAAAGAAAAATGCAATTACTGACTCCAGGAAAAACAAAAAGCTAACAATAAGCACTGTCTATTATGATGCTCAGCTGTAACTTTTTCAGAGGCACAGATTCTAAATATTGAAATAACACAAACTTTATTTTAAAATGACTCAGAGAGCCAAGTCCTTATATTACAATAGTCATAGCCATCTAAAACTTATCAGTGAACGGCAGCAGTGTCCACACACTCCTGAGAAAGAGAGAGATGTATAAACCACAGCACAGACAGCTGATTGCAAAACAGCTGCATCTGCAGGGGGAGCGCAGAGAATGAGAAGATGGGGCCAGGCAGGGCAGAAAACCACCGTGTTCTGTTGTATCCTTTAAATATGATGAGCTTATCTGCATGTATTATTAATTGAATAAAATGAACGGAAAGATACTTATACTCAGAAAGATCAACAAAACAGAACAAAACAATATTCTGGTATAATTAAGAATTTACTATATAAAGATACTTCAAGACAACGGGTAAAAGATAGATTATCTAATAAATGGCATGAGGGCAAGATATTTCTAAATATTCCATGTTATATTCCAAAATATATTACAAATGGATTAAGATTTAAAATATACAAGCTAAAACAGTAAAACCAAGAATATATATGTGAACGCTTATCTGTTCTCAGGCTGGAGCGGCCCTTTCTAAGTAAGATCACACAAAAAAATGAATTCAGGCTGGGCGCGGTGGCTCGCGCCTGTAATCCCAGCACTCTGGGAGGCCGAGACAGGTGGATCACAAGGTCAGGAGATTGAGACCATCCTGGCTAACACGGTGAAACCCCATCTCTACTAAAAACACACACAAAAAATTAGCCGGGCGTGGTGGCAGGCGCCTGTAGTCCCAGCTACTCGGGAGGCTGAGGCAGGAGAATGGCATGAACCCGGGAGGCGGAGCTTGCAGCGAGCTGAGATCATGCCACTGCACTCCAGCCTGGGCGACAGAGCAAGACTCTGTCTCAAAAAATAAATAAATAAATTCAAAATTGTAGATTAAGATGAAATACCTTAAACTATCTTTAATAAATTAAGGTAATTTAAAGCAATTAAAAAAATGAATCTCTATGGAAACATGAACAAAATATACCACAGAAAATCTAAAAGGTAAAATAAATATATACTAATGCCCCCAAACCTAATAAAATAACCAATCTAGGTAATAATCAAAGAACTATACTTTAAAACAATGAAAAATTATTAACTATTTCAATTGTATAGAGAATCACAGATTACAATAAACAACTACTGTATACTCATGACCCAGTTTTGATAGATCTTACTGCATTCCCACACTTGTCTCATATTCCACCTACAGCCTCCCTCAACTTTTGAGAAAATAAAATATTACAGGTTATAAGTGAAGCACTATATTCTCCCTCTTTCATCCCACTCCTTCCTCTTACCCTAGCAAATAGCACCATGATTTGGTATATATCATTCCTATGTTTTTATATTTTGCTGGATAAATGTGTATCAAATATATTTCACATGTTCTACATTTTGTTTTGTTTTTTTTGAGATGGAGTTTCACTCTTGTTGCCCAGACTGGAGTGCAATGGCGTGATCTCAGCTCACAACCTCTACCTCCTGGGTTCAAGCGATTCTCCTGCCTCAGCCTCCCGAGTAGCTGTGGTTACAGGCAGGCGCCACCACGCCTGGCTAATTTTGTATGTTTAGTAGACATGAGGTTTCTCCATGTAGGTCAGGCTGGTCTCAAACTCCCAACTTCAGGCTATCCAGCCTCCTCGGCCTCCCAAACTGCTGGGATTACAGGCGTGAGCCACCGCGTCTGGCCATGTTCTACATTTTTAAATTATACAAACTGTAATATGTACATTTGCTCTGCCATTTGTTTTTGATGGTATCTGACATAGCCGCAGCTGTAATATACTGTGTAACGCACATTTACAATACTTCATCAACTCTCTTGGTGGTGGACCTTGCTAATAGTCCTTTTGGCAGATACCTATTTTTTGTGTATTTACAAAGCTGCAAAGAATAAAACTAGCAGGTCTCCTTGAGTACAAGTTTCTTGGAGCACAGAAATACTAAGTGACAAAGTGACAAGAGAGGTTTTTTTTTTTTTTTTTTTTGAGACAGAGTCTCACTCTGTCTCCCAGGCTGTAGTGCAGTGATGTAATCTCGGCTCACTGCAACCTCTGCCTCCCGGGATCAAGCGATTCTCCTGAGTAGATGTGATTACGGGCGCCTGCCACCATTCCTGGCTAATTTTTGTATTTTTAGTAGAGACAGGGTTTCACCATATTGGTCAGGTTGGTCTTGAACTCCTGACCTCAGGCAATCCACCTGCCTCGACCTCCCAAAGTTGCTAGGATTACAGATGTGAGCCACCTTGCCAGGCCCTTTTAAACAATTTTTTGTAGAGATGGGGTCTTGCTATGTTGCCCTGGCTGGTCCAAAATTCTTGGGCTCAAGCAATCCTCCTGTTTGGCCTCCCAAAGTGGTGGGTTTAACTTTATTAAGAGTTGCCAACTTAGTGCTACAAAGCGGCTATCCAGCACCCTGTAGTGCATGAGTTTTCATCGACCACAACCTTGGCCTTGCATTCATACTGTGGTTTATTATGGTTTTAATATCCATTTCTAGGGCATAGACAGTTTTGTTTTGTTTTTTTTTTTTTTTAAAGAGACAGGATCTCACTATGTTGCCCAGGCTGGAGAGCAGTGGCTATTCACAGACATGATCATAGCAGGCTACTGCCTCAAACTCTTGGTCTGAAGTGATCCTCCCACCTTAGCCTCCTGTGAAGCTGAAAATACAGGCACGGGTCACCACATTGGCTTGACTTAGCATAATTCTTAAGGGCCTTAGGATTTTCAGAATGGTAAGTGATCACTCGTTTCAACAAAGTCACCAGCTACATTCACCTCCAAGAGAGTCAGCCTGTCCTTTGAAGCTTTGACACAAGCATTAACTTCTCTCTAGCTATGAAAATCCTAGGTGGCATGGAATACTATGCAGCCATAAAAAAGGATGAGTTCATGTTCTTTACCACGGACATGGATGAAGCTGGAAACCATCATTCTGAGCAAACTATCACAAGGACAGAAAACCAAACACTGCATGTTCTCACTCATAGGTGGGAATTGAACAATGAAGACACTTGGACACAGGAAGGGGAACATCACACACCAGGGCCTGTCGTGGGGCGGGGGGCTAGGGAAGGGACAGCATCAGGAGAAATACCTAATGTAAATGACGAGTTAATGGGTGCAGCAAACCAACATGACACATGTATACCTATGTAACAAACCTGCACATTGTGCATATGTACCCTAGAACTTAAAGTATAATTTAAAAAAAAAAAAAAAAGTCCTAGGTGGCATCTCCTTCCAGTAGAAGGATGTTTTGACTAAATTGAGTATCTGTTGCTTACGCAGCCACCTTCATCAATGATCCTAGATTTTCTGGCTAACTTGCTATTCTCCATCAGCACTTGCTGCTTCACCTTGCACTACTGTTATAAAAGATGGCTTCTTTTCTTTAATCGCATGAACCAACCTCTGCTAGCTTCTAGCTTTTCTTCTGTAGCTTCCTCACTTCTCCCAGCCTTTACAGAATTGCAGAGAGTTAGGGCCTTGCTCTGGATTAGGCACTGGCTTAAGGGAATGCTGTGACTGGTTTGATCTTCTATCCAGACCACTCCAACTTTCTCCTTACCAGCAATATGGCTGTTTCGCTTTCTTATCATTTGTGCATTCACTGGAGCAGCGCTTTTAATTTCCTCCAAGAACTTTTCCTTAGCATTCACAACTTGGCTAACTGTTTAGCACAAGAGGCCTAGCTTTTGGCCTATCTCAGCTTTCAACATGCCTTCCTCATTTGGCTTAATCATTGCTAGTTTTTGATCTAAAGTGAGAGAAATGCAACTCTTCATTTTACTTGAACACTCTGAAGCCATTGTGGGGGTTATCAACTGGCCTCAACTCAAGATTGTTGTGTCTCAGGGAGTAGGAAGGCCAAAGAGAGATGGGGGAATGGCCAGTCGGTGGAGCAGACACATGCATTTATGGATTAAGTTTGCTGTTTTAGATGGGTGCAGTGTGTGGCGCCTCAAAGCCATTCTTTTTATCATTGATTTTGCCAGAGGCTTGTCGGTTTTTTAAAGAACTATTTTGGGTTTTAATAATTTTCATTACTGTATCTTTATTTCATTTCTGTACCTTTTTACTTTTTTTTTTTTTTTTTTTTGAGATGGAGTCTCACTCTGTTGCCCAGGCTGGAGAGCTGTGGCACAATCTTGGCTCACTGAACCTCCGCCTCCCGGGTTCAAGTGATTCTCCTGCCTCAGCCTCCTGAATAACTGAGATTACAGGCGTGCATCACCACGCCCAGCTAATTTTCGTATTTTTAGTAGAGACGGGGTTTCTCCATGTTGGTCAGGCTGGTCTCGAACTCCTGACCTCAGGTGATCTGCCCACCTCTGCCTCCCAAGGTGCTGGGATTACAGGCGTGAGCCACCACGCCCAGACTACTTCTTTCCTTACATATGCCTTTTCTCTACAAATCCTTGTTTTGGTTAACTCTGTAATTTCCTTTTTTAAATAAGCATTTAAAATACTTATATAAAATGTTCATACTACATGGAAAGTATAGGAAAAACCTATACTAATACTAGAGTTTCTTCTACATGCCACTTGGCTGCATCACATCAATCTGATGTGTATATATTTTCCTTATCATTCAGTTATATTTTCTCTTTTCCACTGTTCGTTCTAAGAGTTAAACAGTTTAGATTTCCAAAATGTATTTTACCTTCAAAAAAATTTAATTTCATTTTAAAATTAAATTGCGGAAACATGAGAATGTTATCTTTTTGACAGTTTATTTAAAATGTGATGAGACTTGTTGCCAAGTATATAATTTCTGCTGGGCCAGAACGGGGGGGCCATTATTTCACATGTGCCTAAAAACAATGCCCATCTCTAACTATTGGATACAGGGACCCATTAGAGCTGGTCAACTCTATTTTTCAGATCTTCTATATTGTTTCTGATTTGTCTGCTTATTAATTACCAAGAAATTTTTAGTGAAATCTCCCAAATGGTTTTATCAATTTATCTTATAATTCTCTAAAATATCTGCCATATTTTGAGGCAGTGTTAACTAATATACATATTTGAAATTATATTCCTGGTAACCTGTACCTTTTATGATTAGGAAGTAACCACGTTTATTCCTAACAACATTGCCTTAGAAACTTATTGTATCTGACATTATTATACCTTTCGGTTGGAATTTTCCTTAAATGTCTTTGTTCCAGCCCTTTATTTTCAACCTTTGTTTCTGTGTCTTGGTGTGTCTACTGTAAATCACCACAGCATAATTGACTTTTTAAAAAAACTGAGTCTAGTATTATCTGATAGACGAGTTTGGTTTTAGGTAAACTGTTTCATACTGTTATTTGGATTAATTTCTACGATCCTGTTTTGTATTTTCTATTTTAACTCTGTTTCTATGTTTCCGGTTTTCCTCCCTTTCCCCTTCTACTGGAATGGTAGTTTACTTGTTCCCTTATAGCTCTTGTTTTATTTTGGAGTTATACATTCTTGAAATGGTTAATTACCTTAAAATATGACATGCCCACTTTACCTTGCAACAATTTTGGAAGATTCTATTACCTCTTCAAATATTTCCGGTCCCCTTTCTATTTTCTCCTAGCTCTTCTATTACGTCTATGTGAGATATTTTCATGTTACCTTCTATACCTTGGTTGAAAGTCTTCAATGATCTTCTATCACTTTATCTTTGTTCAAACTTTCTAATTTTTCCTGATCTGCCATCTGGTTAAGTGATTCTCTTTTGGTTGTGTCAAATTTAGTGTTTAATTTTAATGACTTCATTTTACATTTATAGAATTTCTCTTTTAAAAACCTGTCTTGTTTTCCATAGTGGTTTTTGCTCCTTGATTCTAAAGACAACTTTCCCCACTCTCCTTATATCCAGAGCTCAGCTTAAATCCTTTAGCAGTTGCCTTCCTGGGAGAGTAGGTCGATGATTATTATTTTTTTCAGTTCACCTATACACTTAAGGGTATTTAGGCTTCTGTCTTCCAGGTTTCCATGGAAACGTCAGCTCTCAGCCCCTCCCAGCCAGGTGTAAGGCTTTGTTTCCTTTTCTGTGTGACCCCTACCGGCCAGCCTACCTTGCTCAAGTCCTTATGCTGCCACACAGAGGCTCACAATGGTTAGCACCTTCATTTTCAGCTCTCTTCTCTTCTTCAGATGCCTGGGAATTCCCTCTTACTTTTGTGCAGAGCATTACACTTTGCTGTATTTCACACAGCACCCAGTTTTAGGTGCTTGGTTCCAGGATGTTTCAGGTTATTTAGTTCAGCCTGACTGCTGTTCCTTGGCAATCTATGGCTTCCCAGCTACTAAATTAACAAAGGTTTTTAAAAAAACAAACCCAATGATAGCTAAAGTGCAGCAAAATGGGAGCTTCCATATGCTTAAGAGTGTACACAATTACACCGTTTCTGAAGTAAAATCTGGAATATTCAAAAGCCTTCAACAAGTGCATTCCTTTTGATACAGCAATTATATTCATAAGCATTTATCACAGGGAAATCATCACGGAAATGTACAAATACTTAGCTAGCAAACTATCACAGCATTGCTCCTAATGGCAAAAAACTCGTAACAAGCTATTTGTCAAACTTAGTTAAACCCACTCTCGGGTCCACCTGAAGATAGAGTACGCAGCTTTTAACAATGTCATGGAATAGATGGTGGTTAAAAAGACTGCAATATATTTATCACATTTCAGCTAAGACATCAATCGTAACATGTATCATTAAGTATATTTAAGAAAAGAAAATGCTGCCAACTAGAATGCATTTTCATCAGATGGAATTTTTACTTTTACTTACTAAAGAATCACCTGTTTTAGACTTAAACAGATTTATCCTAACATTCTCGTAAGTGGATAAAGAAAAGCTAAATAGATTGGCTAGGATATTGCCAAAATGGTTTTACATAGAGTCCATTCTGAATCATTTTGACTCTTACTAAGGATGTCTGTGTTTTTCCACATAACGTTGTCCTCCGAGCCACTAAGTATGTTAGCACTCCTTAGTAGTAGTCCAAGGCTAATTCTAGGATTTTCTCCTAATCTGCGCCCATCCATTTTCTAAGTCTGATCCTGAGCTTTCTTGATATCCAAAGGTTTGTTCTTTCAGGGCAGATTCTTGCAATGGTCCTTAAATAGTTTGCTGACAGAAAGAACAAGGCTGCACGCAAGTGTGCACTGATGCAATGATGATGACTAGGTCATCACTGATACCTGGCCAGCTACTGTACTATGTGCACTGACTTTGCAATGCACTCGAATCAATGAATCAATGTAGCAGTTGCTTCCAGAGAGCAGGGCTAGGGGTTTTAAACTTTTGGCCACAGAATCCTTTCATTCTCACCAAGTGTTCTTTGTGGAGGAAAGCTCAGTGCCCAGAACACTGCCCCTCCCCACCATTACTTCCTCCCCCAAGCCCACCCCTCAGAGAGGACCTCACACACACACAGGCAAGGGGCCTCACAAAACAGATTGAAAGGCACAATTGAAACAAAACGAATGCTTCTTAAAAGCTGTTTTGAAGTTTCTACTCAGTTTAACATCACATTCATTCCCAAATCAGCATCACTCCTCACCATTATCTAGTCAGGAATGGAAAGCATTAGATGATAGTGGTTAGGAGACTTCCTGCTTATGACAATTTAGGTTCAACGTATATCTAAATTGAAGAGATGAAACAAGCAAAACAACTGAAGAACAAGCCAGAATGTTATGATCCCACCCTCCCCACCCATAGTGGGAAACATCTTTAACTGTTTCTAGAGTTAGTTCTTCATTTTTAGCTGGATATGTACATGTCTTTAAGTCATATGCTTGTTTTGTTCTTTGACCAATCAACGTTTGCGTAAATTATTGATTTCCTGCGAATAGAGAACACATCTCCTTTCTACCCCCTACCTCCAGTCCATCTTCATCCTAATAGTCACTATGGAGCCTCTGAAACTTTCAGTTACTTAAACCATGATTCCAATTTTAAATGTACCGAAGTACCTAACCACATTTCTGGCAAATAACGATAAACTCTAGAAAAAATATTAAAACAATGATCTTGAAGGCACCAGAGAACCACCAAAAGAAGGTGTATACTGAAAAGTGGCCTAGTGTTGGAAGAAGGGAATGGCACAGCCCAACATGGTTGATGTAAAAGAAACAGGAAAATGAGATCCACTCTCAAGACAAAAGACAATCAACAGAGACCAGCTGTAGTTGACCCAAATGTTGGAATTAGGAGACAAAGACTCTAAAGCAACTATTATAGTTATAATAAAAGATATAGAAAAATATGTTCATAATCAATGAAAATTGCAGCACAAAAACAGAAACCATGAAAAAGAACAAAATAAAAATTCTAGAACTGAAATACCAGGAAATCTAGAATAAATTACTCATTGGATGGTCTTGACAGCAAAATAAAGACGAGTCATGGGTTTGCACAGAGACCAACAGAAACGATCAACTCTTGAGAGGAAAAAAAAGATTAAAACTTCTAGAAAACCAAAGGGGGAACAATCTTGAAAGCGGACAGGGAAAAAGAACGTAACACAGAAAAAGAGTTCACATGACCAGTAACTTCTCATCAAAAACTACAAAGGCCAGAAGACAGTGCAATAACATGTTTAAGTGGTGAAAGAAAAAAAAATGCTGAAAGAAAAAAAGTAATTGTAGTTCTATAGCCAGTGAAAATATCCTTCAAAGATGAAGGCAAAATAATGCTATTTTCAGGTAAAATAAAACTAAGGGAATTCATAGTAGAGACCTGCATTTTGGGTGGAAGCAAACTGACACTACAATAGAATCCTGCATCTTTAGGAAGGAATGAAGAGCAGTAGAAACAGTAAGTATCTGGGTAAATATACTTTTCTTAATTCTTTAAAATACAAAGGATGGTTTAAAACAAAAATTTATAATATCGTCTTGTGGGTTTAAAAACATATGTAGAGGTAATATAAAGGAGAGCGATACGAGTAGTAAATGGAACTATACAACCACAATTCCTCTACATTTTCTATGATGTCATACAATCTTAACTCTAAGTGGAATGTTAAGAAAAATGTGTATTATATCCTTAGAGCAATCTCTTTATTCCTTCTTCTCTTTCACACACACACACACACACACACACACACACACACACACACTGCAGAAACAACCAACAAATATATTAAAAAGGAACTATAAAAAAATTTCAAATAATCCTAAAGAAGGGTGGAAAGCAAGAACAAAGAAACTTTTTAAGGGGAGAAAAAAACAAAATGGTAGGCCTAAAATTAATCTATTAATAATTATAACAAATGTTAATGGGCTAAAACTACAATTAAAAGACAGAGATGGTCAGAAGGGGCAAAGCAGCAAGACCGCTCTATATGTTGACATGAGGGACACAATTTAAATATAAAAATACACATAAGTTGAAAGCAAATGGATGGAAAAAGATTATCATGCAAACATTAAGCATAGAAAGAGGTTAAAGAAGCTAATAACTATCAGGCAACAAATTACTACCAGGGATAAAAAGGGACACATTTCATAATAAATGTACTTAAAAGACATATTCGCAAATGTATTTTTGTCTAACAACAGAGTTTCAAAATATATGAAAAAAAATTTGTTTTTTGAGATGGAGTCTTGCTCTGTCACCTAGGCTGGAGTGCAGTGGTGCCATCTCGGCTCACTGAAACCTCCACCTCCCAGGTTCAAGCGATTCTCCTGCCTCAGCCTCCAGAGTAACTACAGGCGCCCACCACCATGACCGGCTAATTTTTGTATTTTTAGTAGAGACAGGGTTTCATCACGTTGGCCAGGCTGGTCTTGAACTCCTGGCATCAGGCGATCTGCCCGCCTTGGCCTCCGGCGATCTGCCCGCCTTGGCCTCCCAATGTGCTGGGATTACAGATGTGAGCCACCACACCTGGCTTAAAATATATGAAAATTTGACAGAATTAAAGGGTAAAGGAGACAATTTCACAATCATAGGATAAGATTCAACATTCCTCTCAGCAACTAGACCATAGGAAAAATATCAATCACAACTTGGATGATCTGTATGGGCAGTTGTAACATTCTACACCCAGTGGTATACTGGTAAATTGGCTCTCTGAGCAGGGAGAAAAGAAAAAAAGAAAAGCCCTGATTTGTAGCCTCCATAGATGTCTATTGTATAAGGTTCCCACCATGGCAGATGCAAGCTACCAACAGGACAATATCACACAGGGAGATGGGAGAGAGATGGGCACAATCATCTCCCGCAAGCTGATCTGATCCAGCTCCAGCACATCACCATCTACAGCCAACAGCTGCAGAACCCACATTCTTTTCAAGAGTACATGGCACATTCACCAAGATAGGCTATTTTCTGGGCCACTGAACACGTTTCAATACATTTAAAAGGACGGAAATTATACAGTGTGTTCTCTGATCAAAATGGAATTATAATTAGGAATTAGTAACAATAAGCTACCCGGGAAAATCCAATATTTCTAAACAATATCTTCCTATATAATTCAAAGGTCAAATAAAGTGTTTTGAATTAAATGGTAATGAAGATACAACATATCAAAATTTGCAGAATAAGGCTAAAAATCCTTAAAAGGAAATTTATACTTTCAAATACTTATATCAGAAAAGGTAGAAAGAGTTGGGCATGATGGCTGATGCCTGTAATCCCAGCACTTTGGGAGGCTGAGGGAGGTGGATCACTTGAGGTCAGGAGTTTGAGACTAGCCTGGCCAACATGGTCAAACACCCAGTCTCTACTAAAAATACAAAAATTAGCTGGGCGTGGTGGTGCATGTCTGTAATTCCAGCTACTCAGGAGGCTGAGGCAGGAGAATCGCTTGAACCCGGGAGGCAGAGACTGCAGTGAGCCAAGAACATGCACTGCACTCCAGCCTGGGCAACAGAGTGAGTGAGACTCCAACTCAAAAAAAAAAAAAAAAAACCAGAAAAGGTAGAAAGATTTAAGAATTATTAATTAAAATGGCAATACTCCCTGACATGGTTTGGCTGTGTCCCCACCCAAATAGCACCTTGAACTGTAATAATCCCCATCTGTCAAGGGCAAGGTCAGGTGGAGATAACCAAACCATGAAAGCAGTTTCCCCGATAGTGTTCTCGTGGTAGTGAATAAGTCTCATAGAATCTGATGGTTTTATAAATGGGAGTTTCCCTGCATAAGCTCTCTTGCCTACTGCCATGTAAGACATGACTTTGCTTCTCCTTTGCCTTCTACCATGATTGTGAGGCCTCCCCAGCCACGTGGAACTCTGAGTCCGTTAAACCTCTTTCCTTCATAAATTACCCAGTCTCGGGTATATCTTTATTAGCTGTATGAGAACAGACTAATATACTCCCCAAATTGATCCAAAGATTCAATGTAATCCCTATCAGAATCCCAGTTGGCTTCATTGTAGGAAGTTAACAAGCTGATTCCAAAATACATATAGAATTTCAAGAGACTCAAAAGAGCCAAAATAATCTACAAAAAGAACAACATTGGAGGACTCAAACATCACAATTTCTAAACTTACTACAAAATGACAGTAATAAACTCATGAATCTGTGGACCTGATTTTCAATAAGGGTGAACATCAAAACCACAATGAGATACTACTTCATTCCCACTAGGATGGCTAGAATCAAAAAGTCAGAAAATAACAAGTGTTGAGCCGGATGTGGTGGCTCATGCCCGCAATCCCAGCACTTTGGGGGGCTGAGGCAGGAGAATCACTTGAGGCCAGGAGCTCGAGACCAGCCTGGCCAACGTGATGAAACCCTGTCTCTACTACAAACACCAAAATTAGCTGGGCATGGTGATGCGCACCTGCGGTTCCAGCTACTCGGGAGGCTGAGGCAGGAGAATCACTTGAGGCCAGGAGCTCGAGACCAGCCTGGCCAACGTGATGAAACCCTGTCTCTACTACAAACACCAAAATTAGCTGGGCATGGTGATGCACACCTGCGGTTCCAGCTACTCGGGAGGCTGAGGCAGGAGAATCGCTTGAACCTAAGAGGAGGAGGTTGCAGTGAGCTGAGATCTCGCCACGCACTCCATCCTGAATTACAGCAAGACTCTGTCTCAAAATAAGTAAGTAAATAACTAAATAAATAAATACAACACAACACAACAAGTGTTGGCCAGAATGTGGAGAAACTGGAACCCTCATACACTGCTGGTGGGAAAGTAATATAATGCAGCCACTTTGGAAAATAATTTGGCAGTTCTGCAAATGGTTAAACACACAGTTACCATCTGACCCAGAAATAACACTTGTAGGCATCTAAGAAAAATGAAAACATATGTCTACATAGAAACCTGTACACAAATATTTACAGCAGCACTATTCGTAATAGTAAAAAGTTGGAAATAACCCAACTGTCCATCACCTGATGAATGGATAAACAAAATGTGGTATATCCACAGAATGGAATCTTATTTTACCATAAAAATGAAGTACTGACATATGCTACAACATGGATGAAGTTAGAAAACATTATACTAAATGGAAGAAAGCCAGTCACAAAAGACCACATGTATTAGTCGGCTTAGGCTGCCATAACAAAATACCAGACAAGACGGCTTAAACAACAGGAATTTATTTTCTCACAGTTCTGGAGACTAGAGGTCCGAGCTCAAGGTACTGTCAGGGTTGGTTTCTGGTGAGGGCTCTCTTCCAGGGTTGCAGACGGCCACCTTCTCACTGTGTCCTCACATGGCCTTTCCTCTGTGTATGTGGAGAGAGAGCTCTCTGGTGTCTCTTCCTCTTCTTATAAGGACACCAATCCTATCAGGGTAAGGCCCCACCCTCACGATTTTATTTAACCTTAATTATTCCCCCAAATAGCCTTACCTCCAAATACCATCCAAATATACTGGGGGTTAGGGCTTCAAGATATGAATGGAGGAGAGGCACAATTAAGTCCATAACACCACATATCATATAGTTACATGTATACAAAATGTTCAGAATAGGTGAATTTATAGAGACAAAGTACATTAGTAGAAGGTAGGGGTAAGAAGGAAGTGACAACTAAAGGGCACAGGGTTTCTTTTTGAGATGATGAAAATCTTCTAAAATTGAATGTGACAGTTGAACATTATCTGTGAATATACCAGAAACTATTGAAACGTACACTTTAAATGAGTGCATTGTATGCTATGTGAATTAGATCTCAGAGCCATTAAGGCTGGGCACAATGGCTCACACCTGTAATCCCAGCTCTATGGGAGGCCGAGGTAGGTGGATTACTGGAGGTCAGGAGTTCAAGACCAGCCTGGCCAACATGGTGAAATCCTGTCTCTGTTAAAAATACAAAAAAATTAGCTAGGCGTGGTGGCGTGCGTCTGTAATCCCAGCTACTCAGGAGGCTGAGGCAGGAGAATCACTTGAACCTGCGAGGTGGAGATTGCAGTAAGCCAAGGTTGCGCCATTGCACTCCGGCCTGGGCAAAAACAGCAAAACTGTCTCAAAAAAAAAAAAAGCCATTAAAAAAATTCAATACCATTCCAATCAATCAACTTTTGGGGTAGACATTGACAAGAAGTTGACAGTCCATTGAGGAAAAGTTTTTTTCAACAAATGACACTGGAATAATTGGATATCCACACAGGGGAAATTTAACCTTAAGCCTTACTGTACACCATATACAAAAGTTAACTCCAGGTGGATCACAGGTCTAAAAGTAAATGCCCAAACCATAAAGTCTTATGAGGAAAACACAAAATATATTTGAGATCTAGGCAAAGGTTTCTTATGTCACAGAGGCAATAACTGCAAAAATAAAATAAAACCAATAAATTAGGTTTCCCCAAAGTAAACATTTGCTCACCCAAAGACACCATTAAGAAAATGATTAGCAAGCCTCAGACTTGAAGAAAATATTAGCAAAATATATCTGACAAAACACTGGTATCCTTGACATATAAAGAACTAAAACTAACAAAAAGCAAAATATCCCCAAAATGGAAAAAACAGGAGGCGAAAGACTTGGACACTTTACAAAAGATGACATACGAATGGTCAACGAGCATATAAAAAGGTGCTCAACGGACACGAAGTTTACATGGCAGCCCGAGAGGTGCCCCCGGTTTAGGGCACCTTCGCCTAAAGAACAGGATCAACTGTGCTTTGAATCCAGGCTGAGTCAGCAGAGGCAGGAGTGAAAGCAGATCTTATATAGCTCTGATGACACACAGTCTTAGCTTCACAGTATTTTTATCTCAGCTTTAAATCAACTGAACTATATGGAGAAATGTTATCAGAAATGGAATGAGCAGGCTCTTCATGTGATCAGAAGCTGCCTGAGGGAGATCTGTCCAGGCCACCAGCCCCTCCTCACACCTCACTGGTATGAGACCTGAGGAAAAAGCGCTATTGGGATAATTCAAGTGTATTATCTGGAAGGGGAGAATTCCCCATGTTCAAGGAAGGACTGTGAAACGGATGTATTCCTGAATTATGAGGTGTGCCATTTTCCTGAAGAATGAGCCCTGAAGGGCGCCTGTGTGAAAGGACAGGGCCGGAGCCTCCCCGCTGCTCTCTATGCCTGGGCTCCTGCTGCTCCCTGAACCCACCGCCCCCCACAATGCCACACTCACCACCTGTTGCCTCAACATGCACACAAATTAAGTGTTCATAAATCATTTACTTTAGAAGAGTAGAAAAACGAACTATGACTAATCTTTAGGAGAAAAATGGTCACATCTAAAGTTATTCTTAAAGGGAAAAAAAATTAAAACAGTATGAGGACAAGTTAAATATAGGAATTAAGATGAAATAAGAAAAAGCAAAAACATCAGAGATAAAAAATTAAAAGTCTACAAGGCAATAAAATAGAAGTTTCATTCAGCAGACAATAGATTAGGTATTTTATACTAAGGCAGCCATAGACTCTAACAAACCCATACATTTGACTTTTAAAACTCTGAGGTTCTTTGCTGAAGGTCCTCTGAAAGCTTCTTTGGCCAGAAAGCAGGTGAGAACGTAAGCAGGTATCTGGGGCCTCCTCCGCAGGCAGGTGGGGAAATGGTGTAAGGTGGTACAGGGGTTTATGTCCAAGAGCCAAGCCTGGTTCAGCCTCCAAAATAGGTCCTACAACTCTTCTGTCATCCTAGAAACGTTGTCTGCCAAGGCATGCTTCTGTACTGATGGGGAGGGGCAAGTCACTGTGAAAGGGTCCTATCAGATGCAAAGCTTCACATCTCACCTTTCAGCAAGCAGACACCTTCTGGGCACCTGTCCAGTGCCAGGTACCATGTGTGTGACTTAGGCCTCACCAACAGACTGCCTTCCTGGAGTTCAGCATCTACTACTAACGTAATATAAAGTGAGCAGCAGGATGACGGAGCCAGTATTCTCAAATGTCTCTGTTACCCACAGCACCATGCCTTATTTCTGAAGTGAACACACCTGGGGAATCAATTCTTGACTTTTAGTTATTGCCAAACTCCAACCATTCTCATTAGCTAAAAGAAAAGCCAATTCAATCAAAGAAGCAAAACTAAACAGAACAGAATCACTTCCTACTACCACTTGTTTCCCAAATGCGACTTAAGAAGTGGAAATTTAAACAAGTAACTTCTATTAAAATCACATGGAAAGACTCTGCACTAAAAGTTTTATTAAAAATACAGTACTTCCTAGGCTGGGTGTGGTGGCTCACCCCTGTAATCCCAGCACTTTGGGAGGCCGAGGTGAACAGATTGCTTGAGGTCAGGAGCTCAAGACCAGCCTGGCTAACATGAAACCCCGTATCTACTAAAAATACAAAAATTAGCTGGGCATGGTGGCACGCACCTGTAATCCCAGCCACTCGGGAGGCTGAGGTATGAGAATTGCTTGAACCCAGGAGGCGGAGGTTGCAATGAGCCAAGATTGCACCACTGCACTCCAGCCTGGGCAACAGAGTGAGGCGCCCTCTGAAAATAAATAAATAAATAAATAAATAAATAAATAAATAAATATAAAAATATATATATATACACACACACACATATATCGTACTTCCTATCTTCAAACATTAACAAGTTAACCTGTACCAAATGGCAGAACAGCAGGCTCACATACTATCCTGTATAATCCGTCTGTAGTTATAAAAGAATAAAGTCCTGTCCAGTCTGTGGGTACGTGCATTTCTGAAAAGAAATATCCCATACAAAGCAAATAAATTCACATCTAATAGCATACTTCAAAAGTAAAAACTAATTGCAATTGATTATAATGAACTAAAAAATGTGTTACATAATGTTCAAAGTACTCTGAGTATAATTACCGTGAATCAAACTTTGAAAAATAGCTGAAGAACATGCCATATTTATACTAACCGCCTACCCCACCAAAAAAAAAAAAAATCACTTGTGACAAGTACACAATCTCATAATTTCTACAGGGTCTTACTTTAAGACAGATATACAATTTCTCAATCCTAAGAATGATTTTAATAGTACCAGGTCAGTAGTAAAAGATAGCAAGAACTTTGCAAACTAGGCTTAACATTTGCAAAAGGCAAACTAATAAACTGCACTTTTAAATGCATGCTCTATACGAAAATCTAGAAGGCAAAGAAGAGCAATTTTTAAAAACTCATATAGAAGTCCACCACCTTATAAGGGACAGTTCCTTTCCATATGGTGTACACAAACTTTTTCAAAAGCAGGAGCATGTGCTGATGGTTCACAATTCACATACCACTTCATATCCTGCTTTCCCACAGCAATATATTATGAACATTATTCCATGTCAACAGTCTTCATTGTGTTTTTAATAGCAGTTTATAGTTATCCTTAATATTGAAGATTGAGGTTGTTTTCCATTGTTTCCTATTATTAAAATATGCTGAAGAGCCTTGCACATGCAATTTTGAATACAACTATTTCCTTAGGATAAAGTTTAAAAAATAAATTGCTGGGCCACAGTACATTTTTATGTCTCTAGAAAGGCCAGGCTTGTGTGGTTCATGCCTATAACCCCACAACTTTGGGAGGCCAAGGTGGGAGGACTGCTTGAAGCCAGGAGTTCAAGACCAGCCTGGGCAACATAGCAAGACTCCATGTCTGCAAAAAATAAAAAATTAGGTGTGGTGGTGTGCGCCTGCAGTCACAGCTACTCAGGAGGTTGAGGTGGGGTGGGGGGTGGAATCACTTGAGTCCAGGAGTTGGAGGCTGCACTGAGCTATGATAGTGCCATTGCACTCCAGCCTAGGTGAAAGGGCAAGACTCTATCTCAAAACAAAAAAATATATCTCTAAATTTCCCTCCAGAAAGATCACAGCAAACTAACATTTCTGCCTGCACTGTAGAGCTTGGTCTCCTTGCCAACACTGGCTGTAATAGTCATTTCTTAACAATGTTTGTCAACCTGATAGGTAAAAACAGGGTCTCACTGTGTTGCCCAGGCTGGAGTGCAGTGGTGCGATCATGACTCACTGCAGCCTCGACCTCCCAGGCGCAAGTGTTTCTCCTGCCTCAGCCTCCTGAGTAGTTGGGACTACAGGCATGCACTACCACACCTGGCTTTTTTTTTTTTTTTTTTTTAAAGACAAGGTTTTGCTATGTTGCCCAGACTGGTCTCAAACTCCTGAGCTCAAGTGATCCACCTGCCCTGGCCTCCCAAATTCCGGGAATTAAAGGCGTGAGCATGGCTGGCCTAATTCTTCATTTAACAGTTATAAGGTTGAACATTTTTCCATATGCTTACTATTTGCATTTCTTCTGTGAACCAGTATGTCCTTTTACAGACTTATGCTAAAAGTATGGATAAACATATATATACACACACACACACGAGAAGGATAGATTACATCTGAAAAATATGAAAACTTTCTATGTTTAGGTTCATTTGATGTAAGCCATGCTCATTAGGTGAGCAGAATCAGATTAATGTAAGACTCCTAAATTAAGAGTGCAAGATGAAAAGTGTCCAAACACATCTGTTGGGATGGATGGTTATTCTAAAACAGACATGGATCATCATTAATCTACTTTGAAGACAATTTGTTATTCCTTCTGTGTGATCTGCTGTTCTTTGAAATTTTGGTTTTCTATAAAGGAGAGAATTTTGCAGTGAGCAGGCGAAGCAGGAAGGCTGCCACCTGAGCACTCCCCTGCAGTGCAGCTCCTATGGAAGGGAAGGCGATGGTCAGAGTGTGGACCTGAAAAGAGTGGTGGCGGCAGCCAAGACGGGACTGCTCAACTGGCAGGTGCAGAGCTGCAGCAGGGACCAGCGTGTCCTGGCACGGTGTCCCTGCAAAGCACAGCCGCAGGCTCCAAGGGCTCAGCAGATTGACTCGGGTGAAAAAGTGCCCCGACCCCCAGCAATCACGAACCTTATCACTAAACGTCAAAATAGACAATTAAATGTGAATTCTGAATGTGCTTATGTTATGACTTACTGAGAGCAACCAAGACCAATCTCATTCTCATTCTCAAATATGAATGAATGATTCTCAAATCAACCAATCTCATTCTCAAATATGAATGAGATTCTTACGGTGCTAGTGGGGGAAAAGAAGACTGGAAAAAACAGGCTAAGGAACAGAACAAACTGATTCAGGCCACAGCAATGTACAGGAAGACAAATAGAAACGTCAAAGTTCATGAACATTTATTCAGGTAGAGAGAAAAAAAAGACATCAACATGAAAGTTTAAACTGATTCCAAGGGAAGGTAAAATTATGAATCTGAGGTACCTGACCTGGAAACAAGACACAGGTAGGTCTGGAGCCCAGAACAATGAACAGAAACCTCCAACAGGTGACCTGACACCTGCACGAGCTAGGCCGGACTCTCATACTTCACTGCATCCCCTTAAATACCTCTCCTCTAGCCAGCACCCATGTTTGTGTTCCAACCTAAGCACAACACCTGAAATATAGCGGTGTCAATAAATTGAATAAGAAATGCCAATACCTATTTCAAATTCAAAAGGAAAGAAACCTGGTATTATTTACCCACCTGCATAGAATTTTACTCTATGTATTTTATTGCACAAGAAAAACAGGCCAGGTGCGGTGGTTCATACCTGTCACCCCAGCATTTTGGGAGGCCCAGGTGGGCGGATAACTTGAGTCGAGGAGTTTGAGACCAGCCTGGGCAACATGGTGAAACCCTGTATCTACAAAAAATACAAAAATTAGACAGATGCAGTGGTGTGCACCTGTGGTCCCAGCTACTTGGAGGCTGAGGCGGGGTGATCACCTGACCCCAGCTCAAGGCTGTAGAGAGCCATGAACCCACAACTGCACTCCAGCCTGGGTTGACAGAGTGAGACTCTGTCTTACACACACACACAGTTGCTGCATGGTAACTATACACATGTAAGACATCATAGAAAACTAGAAGTGAATAGTTGGAAGCGCTTAACAGACAGACTCACAGTGAAGAGTGATGGCTTAAGGCTAAAACTTTAGGAGAAAAACCAAGTCTGAGAAATGGCTGAAAACCAAGTTAACTAAAGTGGATCTTTCTGTCTGCAGATGCTCTGGTCATTTTCTTTTCTTTTCTTTTTTTTTTTGGCTTTTCCAAAATTCCCTTCTTTCACCATTTTGAGTTGAAAAGTCAAGATAAATATTTATGCTGTATAATAACCCACCTCTCTGCTACAGCAACCACAAATGTCACAGGTTCCTAAAGCCTCCAAGAATATTTGTTTTACAGCAAGAAGTAGTTGCTTTTTCTAAAAAAAACACACAATTTTCTCCTCCAGGATAGACAATGGGTAAAAATCTAGCTGTTAACTACTAGCCAGAGTTATGGGAAGGAAAAGAATCCCTCCTTTTTCTCTCAACCAGTTTTCCTTTCTAACCCACTTCCTTTGCCAACTGCTGATGAGGCATGTCTAATTTTGCAGAGTGATACTAGAACAGTGAGAGGCACTGCCAGCTCCTTCTTCCCCGGTCCAAAGCACCTCCTTCCCTGAAACACAACCTTACAACTGCAAGTATTAGATGTCACAGCGAGCAAGCCTTTAGGAGATTATTTTAAAATGACCAAATATACACCAGTAAGAGAAAACTTCTGAAAAACTGCTCTGTTATGCAACCTGGGCTGGAATAAAACAGCAATAATGGCAACATATACGCAATTCCAAAGAGTACTATGCGTAAATGGCTTTAAGTGAAGATGGCTCTACAAAAACATGACAGATGACTCAAAATTCTTTCAGTTCTCACAATGATGCTGAAAAGATATGTGAAGAGTTAGGGGGTAAAATTATATTTTATGATTTTCAACAATTAATAAACATAAGTATACACTCTACTGTTTCACTTCTACCCTAATACATTGAAGAGTTAATCAAAATACTTCTTCACAACTTCTCAAAGAAAATATAGAAATGTAATACTCTGAGAAATGTGATCCATTCAAATACAGTAGCTGAAGACTACATAGAGTGTCTAAAGGCAATTCTAGAGTCAGACTGCTGAGAACCTTAAGACCCGCCTCACCACCACCACTGGCTGCTGTACAACCAGGTTCCTGGAGCTTATCCACAGAGAAAGGTGACTACCACCAGCCCGCGGTGAGATAAGGCTTAATGAGGTGTGGATGGTTCCAAGCACAAAGCCTGACAGCTGTAGCCATTATTTCATTATAATGTCTAAAGAATTAAAGAAAGATATTTTAGACTTGGTTTAGATTCTCCAATTTTTTGTAAATATATGGAGCTATTATTTCTCAGACAAAACTGGAAAAAAAACTACCCAATTTGAGAGGCAGTCCTAAAAAAAATTAAAGTTGCAGGTACCAAAACAACTACAAATTATACGAATTTAATTATTTGTAGAATACAAGAATTCAGTAACTTCTGCTAGCATACAAAGTCTCACCGCCTTATGAGCAAAAATAACCCATCAGAAAAAGGACCAACCTGATTTAAAAAAGAACACATTAAGAAATTCCCAAGGCTGGACGTGGTGGCTCACACCTGTAATCCCAGCCTTTGGAAGGCCAAGCCAGGCGGAATGCTTGAGCCCAGAAGTTTGAGACCAGCCTGGGTAACTTGGTGAAAGTCTCTAGGAAAAAAAAAAAAAAATTAGCCGGGCATGATGGTGCGTGCCTGTGGTCCCATCCACTTGAAGGCTGAGATGGGAGGATCGTTTAAGCCTGGGAGACAGAGGTTGCAGTGAGCCGAGATCATGACACTGCACTTAGCCTGGGTGGCAGAGCGAGACTCTGTCAAAAAAAAAAAAAAAAAATGGATGACTTACAAGGCATATTAATTACATCTCAATAAGGTGGATTTTAAAAAGAAATTCTCCAGACACAGATCAACAATGACACCTCCTTGAGCTCTGGAGCAGTGCTCTCCTGCTTCCTGTACATCAGAAATCCCACCAGTGTCTTCCCTCACCAGTGGAACTACCACCTTCAGCTTTCCTACAAGAATTAAGAAAATGCCATACCTAGCAAGCCAGAACCCTGTTGGGGGCATAATATCTTCTCACTTGGCAAAGACTCTATCTTCTTTAAAAGCAACCTACCCATCATAGCACCCTGCAATCCCACTCCTACATACACACCCTGGAGACCAGAAGTCACAGAGCCACTCAAAAACTCGCACACAATGTTTACAGTGGTATTAGTAACAGTCAAAAGGTGGAAATAACCCAAATGTCCATCATTGATCAATGGGCAAACAAAATGTAGACTAGCTATACAACTGAGTCACAGAAAGGAATGACGTACACAGTGATACGCGCTACAAGGATGAAGCCTCCAAGCATGCTCAGTCAAAGAAGCCACATAGGCAGCCCACAGATCATATGACTCCATGTATGCAAAATGTACAGAATGGGCAAATTCATAGAGACAAAGTAAATGAGTAGTTGCCAGGGCCTCGGGGGAAGAGGGCATGAGGAGTGACTGCTAATGGGTACAAGGTGTCGTTTTGGGGTGATTAAAATGTTCTAAAATTAGATGGTGGTGATAGGTGCAAAACTCTGTAAATATACTAAAAACCACTGCACTGTATACTTTTTAAAAGGTTGAATTTTATGGTACATAATTACATCTCAATAAAGCTATTATTTTAAAAGTATTCTATATGTAAGTGTATATACATGTATAAATATGCAAACACACATTTTATGCTAATTCAGAGATTGACATAGTTTTATATCTACTTAAATTTTTTTTAGGATTCTAAAATATTAACATGCAAGAACATACTGGAATATCACAAAAACTAGTTTGATAGAACTGATATAGTCTATCAAACCTGAAGACTTTAAACCTGAAGCTCCGTTGAATCAGCAACTTTAAAGTCCTAGAAACAGTGGCAATCTCCTCTCTCCTGAGTGAGCTTAACTCTAATTTCAATGTCATATTTGTATGGAATCAAGAAAGCCTCCAAATTAGCTGGTGCATCTCCAACCACACGAATAGTGGGAGCCGCATCTTTTCCACCCTCATCACCTTTGTGGCACACAGCACAGTCCCCCATGCACATCGTGGACCAAAAACTAAAGGAATAAAATTCTTTTTAAATACTGTACTTTAAAAAATAGGGCCACAGCCCGGGCAACATAGCAAGACTCTGTCTCTATAAACAATAAAAAAAAAATTGGCCAGGTGTGGTGGCACGTGTCTGTGGTCCCAGCTACTTGGGAGGCTGAGATGGGAGGATTGCTTGAGTGCAGGTAGTTGAGGCTGCGGTGAGCTGTGATCATACCACTGCACTCCAGCCTGGGTGACAGAGCGAGACCTTGTCTCAAAAACACAAAAAAATAGGGCCATAACAGGAAAACTTTTGCTCGATGTCCTATCCCTTTTGATCAGGTAAACAAACTTTTCCTGTAAAAGGGCAGGTAGTAAATATTTTAGGCTTCATGGACAAAACTGTTTCTGACACAACTACTTAACTCTGTTCCCATAACACAAGGCAGTCATAGACAATATATAAACAAATGGACGTAAAACAAATGATCTGCTGAGAACCTCAGGACCTTGCTTTAGACCAGCTTTGCCCAACGGAACCTTCTACATGACAGAAATGTTTTATTTATTAATCACACAGCTAGTGTGCCTAAGGAACTTTAAAATATTTCAAATGTAAACAGCCACATGTGCCCAGTGGTGACTGTACTGCCCAGTGCTGCATTTGACTAAAAATGAACCAGTTCTACTCTGTTCAAAAACTTAAGGCTAAAAATGAACCCTGCGATTATTTTACATGATGAACTGGGAGGAGAAAACAATATAAAATTCTAATAATTCATAAGTCATACTAGTAAATAATCAAAACTCTAAGCAATCAACCTGCGCTAGGCAGGAGGATACGTGTAGAGCTCCATATATCTGGACTTGGCCATGCTCTGCCGTGTGTACACCTGCTGGATGCCGGCTCTGAGGTCGTCCCAGATCTGGTCCAGGCCAATCTGCTTCAGGCCGTGGGGGTTCTGGCTCCGGGTTGACGACATTGTGAGGGATGTTCTAAAGTCGTCCAGTGCAGCAATCCTTATTCAAAGTACAGCTAGTTCTCCATTAGATGAAAATATACAGTACCATTCCAAATTTATTCACAGCAGCTCAGAAAGGATGTCCTTTAAATGTAGAGAATGAAATCTCATTGCAGGCAAACCTGAGGAAGAAATAAAGAGAATCAGTGGATTGTCTCTGGGGTACTGTAATAAGGTGAGACACACTGACAGAAAAACTCAGTCTGCAGGGCCCACTCTAGAGACCATTTCTCTTTCTATGTGCAAACACATTCATGTTAACCATATGGTCTGTGTACAAAAATACGCTTAGAATTTTAGTTCAAAATCATTATGATATCAGCACTCAAGAGAAAACCTGGGTAAAAGTTTGCACAAGCACAACTATGTTGCCTTCCTTTGCCTTCGGAAGTTATCAAAAATATATATCACTTGACCTAGATGACAATTAGAAAGACAAACTCAAAGAAAAAAGGGCAAAGGATATGCTCAGGAAATTCCCAGGAACACAAACAGCTAATAAATAGGAAAAATCATACAATCTCACGGGTTACCTATGACTTTTAGTAGCTCTTCACTTAGAACTCAGCAAGAATGCAAATGTTGGTGAGGCTGAAAATAAAAGGAAATAGGCACTCCCTTTTTAAGGAGGGAATCTGGCAAGAATTATCAAGATTCAAAATGTACTCTGAATTCAGAGAGACCTGAGTTTGAAGCTCAGTGCCACATCTACTAGATAGGTACATGTGCTACTGGGTGAGTTTCTTAACCTCTCTAAGCTCTAATTTCCTAGTCTGCAAAATGGAGGCCAATTACTTTCCTCAAATGGATATGCAGAGTTTAAATAAGATAATGTATTAGAAAATACTTAACACAGAGTAAATGCTTAACAATGGTAGTGGCTATTATTTCCAAGTATATGAAGATAATGACAAATACAATATATAATGCTTCAGCATCTTGGACACATAAATAAAGTAACTTAGGTATTCAATATTGTATCAAACCAATACTTCTCAATGCACAGTATCACAGACATAATTTAAGGACTACCTATGTACGTCACATCAAAACGTAAAGGTTTTAAATAGTTATTTCTAGTGTAAATCAAGAAACACTGAATTATTTGAATGGTTTCATAAAGCAAATGTTATTGGGAAGTAAACGAGATCTGGAACAATGAGGCTAGGTTATCAAAGCCTGCAAACCTATGTCCCAGTTACCTTGTCAAGTAATTCAGCTCATCCTATATCCTCAATGGCATTACAGAGCTCTGTGTAAACTAAGGCACATTTAGGGACCCTGTGAGGTCATGCTTAAGGAGTAAGTCTGAACCACTGAAACCTATTCTCTAATATTTATTTATATTCTGGGCTATGGGTCTTAATATTTTATGAATCTACAACATCATTCCTGATCCTGAAAGTATTTTATGTCTTACATTCGAATTGGTATGTTCAAATGTGGAATATAAAAATATTTAACACAAGGACTCCCTCAAGTTTTAAGAAACTAACAACTCAGCAACCACTCTGGAAATGTTTCCTATGTGTAGTTTCCATGTGCTTTCCTTTCATCATCTACTTGGGGAGGGTTAACAGCACACCTATAATAATAACCATGTTTTGGACTGGTGGTGCATCTGATAGCATCAACTGTTTGGACCTACCCTACTTTCCCCATCACTTAATTTTTCCCTAAGGGGAAATAATCACTTAAATTTCCCAAACTCATAGTCCAGTTAATTCTGTCTTGGATGAGCTTTCTCATACCTCTCTAGATGCTCTTTTACTCCTTTTCCTTCTCTTATAATTTCTATCAGCAACTGAAAAAAAAAAAAGTTCTACTCTGGCCCCCAAATGCCTTTCTCCATCAGTGTTGTCCGTGTCAGCGAGTGGCAATGCCACATGTATCCACAAGTCAGAAACCTGGGAATGAGTCTGATGCCACAGCCCTCATCTTTCACATTCAACTGCTACGGACTTCATTTCAAATGCATTAGCTCATCTCCACTTCCTCCTCTAGTAATCATCCTCGCCATCTCTTACCTGGGCGACTATTTTAGTTGTCTAAACTAGATTCCAATACCTTGTGTCTGCTTGTATCATTCTTGACATGGCCGTCAGCTGTCTAAAATCGCTGTCATCCTAAGACGGTGTCATCCTAATTCTGAATAGGCTGTCACCCTAAGAGCAACAGGGAGCCAAGGCAGAGTCTGAAGAAGGGAAATCCTTAATATGGCACTATCAGATCCTTTTCTCTCTTCATTTGCCTCTCACAAAACCTCAACTCTCCCCCTCCCTCCCCTCAGGTTCAGCCACACAGATGTCCCCCCTTGCCACCTCAGTCTCCTTTCCCCGCCACAGGATCTCTGCATCTGCTACTGCTTCTGCCTAGAGAGTTCTAGAGAGTTCCTCCCCTTCTTCAAGTTGCCTTCCAGTCATACTTTCAAAGGAGGCTTACTAGGAAGTCCCAGAAGACGTACAGGTTTGCTTTAAATGGGATTTTCCCTTCTTAACACTTACTCCAGGCCATAAACCTGCACTTGTTTCTTTACTGTAACTCCCTGACTTCACCGGGGTGCAAGCCCCACAGGCTCATGAGAACCTCATACAGAGCCTGGCATGCCGCTCAATACATATTTTACATAAATAAATGAAGGAATAAATCAAGGAATTGAAAAGCTTTATGTCTTAAAAAGATTTAGGAATAAAATACCAGTATCATCAAGCATCTGAACTTGCTCAAAATCCCTCTTTAGAATCTCTACAAAATTCTATCTCGTTTCTTCTAAACTTTTTCCTTAAAATATTGGATTCTGGGCTAAAATTTATGTCTTGCTGTTTCATTTAGTCATGTTTTGTATTATTTTGGTCACTGCAAATGTATACATACCCCAACACAGTGTTTAAACAGGCTTACGAAAATTACAGGATTTTAGTGACTACTTAGTTTTAACGAATATTTAGTAGGATGCTACCATATGCCAGGCACTGTCCTAGGCATTATTTACTCTTAATGGTAAACAGACATCGTCTACGCTCATAATGCTACAGTGACGGAATAAAGCATGCTTATTTATTTATTTATTTTTAAATAGGGTATCACTCTGTTGCCCAGGCTGGAGTGCAGTGGCGTGATCACGGCTCACTGCAGCCTCAACCCCCTGGGCTCAGGTGATCCTTCCACCTCAGCCTCTCAAGTAACTGGGACTACAGGTTAGGACAACCATGCCTGGCTAATTTAAAAAAAAATTTTTTTTTTTTTTTTTGGTAGAGATGGGGTTTCGTCATGTTACTTTATGTGCTATGCATTTGTGTACCAAAAGCATTTGTTCTTAAGAGCCAAATACAATCACTGGCAATTAGAGGTTAACCTTAATGATAGTTCTGACCCTTCCTCTTCAGATGAAGAAACTAATTCAAAGAAGCAATCAAACTTGGCAAGCTTCTAATGCTACAAAGTAGCAGGACCACAAACTAGTACACTCTAGTCTGAATTTTAGGTTCTTCCGTTTTTAAAGTGTCAAAACAGTGAAACCACTGTAAGTCATAGGAAAAAACCACCAACAACTGCCTATTTGTTAAATGAGGAAACCTCAACATCTCCAATTAAAAGAGCCGATAGCTTTAAAGAGTTAATAAGTCAGTCCTAATTGTATCAGTATTAAATCTACTCAGATATTTTGAAATTTAAGAAAGCCCTTTTTTTTTTTTAAAGCTTGACTTTTGAAAAACCAAGATAAACTGTGCAACAATCAGGACAATTTAAAAGATAAAGTCAAGATACCAGTTATCCTCTAGCAAAGTTAAAATATACCAAATAAAATGGTCAATGTGGATTTTTCTCCATAACACCTCCATTCTCCTGTCTCAGCATAAGCACATCAAATATGTTCTTTACATATTCTCTATTCTTTTTATTACATTTCTGATTCCAATTATGAATCTTACTCTATTAAAACGTACTGTTAATCTATGAGATCAAATACAACTTTTCATGTCACACTCGTCAAGTTTACTTGCTGTACACTTTTTGTGTCCAGATCTATGCATGGTAACTTTATGCCACATCACACCTCAGTTTATATTCCAAATATGCTGAAAAATTAGCAAAATCTTCTATTCCTGCTGCTATGTGATTTATTCTTCTCTATCCATTCCCTTTTTCTAGTTGTTCCCACTGAGTATCTAAAATTCATGCACAGATGATCTGAGGTTTTCAAAAATTCATACTTAAGTGGGCGGGTTTAAAGAGGATGACCTAATCTTACATTTTTGATATCCCCTAAAGAGCCTCACCTATGTACTTAAAACATTAATAACTAATACAGCAAAGAAACCTCAAACAACGTCTACAAGGAAATGTTAGAAGTAGGCACATCATGAAAATGTCTAAAAGGACAGATAGGTCACACACATGCTGGGCAGCAACAGAGACCTGTGAGGAGGTCCCAGGCAGGGCTCTCGGAGCAGATGCTGAGACCTGGCTTGGGTGGAAGATGCTTCTTAGAGATGGGCACCCACGAGATGACAAGGAGGAAGCAGACGGGGCAGAGAAAAGATGAACTGTGATGTAGGCCCTATAGAGCCAGCATCACCCTGGCAGGGAACTCTGTAACAAGCGTTGCCAGAGGGTCTCACATGGGCTGCAGGCCAGGCCTTTAACTCCCGCTGGGCTGAGAAGGGTGCAGCCCGGTCCAGGCAGCTCTGCAGCTGAGGCCCGATGGCGCTAACACTGGGAGTCAAGTCCTTCCTTGAAGGGGCATCTGGGTGTGTCACCTGTGTATCTACCAGCCTGCTCCAATGGATACAAGAGGCTCAGGCAATGAAGTTTTCCAGTTTAGAGGGGTACGGGTGTGTGTGTGTGTGTGTGTGTGTGTGAGCGCGCGCGTGTGTGTGTGTGTACACGCGCGCATGTGCGCTGCATGCCCATGCTTAATCTATTGATGCGTCACTCAAGTGTCTGGTGAACTGAACTGATTGTAAAACTGCCTGGGACAATAAAATAGAATACAGGTGCCCACAAAACACTTGCTTCTCTGTTAATGTTGAATTTTACTTTACAAACTATATATCCATATCTTATAATCAAGCCATCAAAAAATGTCACTCTTAAGCAGATTTCATAAGTCAGAGAGGTTCAAATGGTTTTTAGGTAAGGGGTAAAAATATTTTCCTCATAAATCATGTCTCATAGCTAGAAAACCTAGGAGGTCCCCAAACCTAAAGATATTAAAAACAAACAAAAAACAAACAAAAAAACAAAATATACTTAGGAAATCAGGTAGTTTTCAAAAGTACTCAGGTATAGGAGATCCTTGGCATCGCAGGAGTTGCCAAGTGTGGTTATGAATGTCCACGCGTTTCGGGCGTGTACCCTGCAGATGTGCCACCTCCTGACTTGGACACACAGGTGGCTGGTGAGTGAAGCAGGACGACAGCAGGGGCAGCCACAGGGCCCCTCACAACTTCAGTGTTCTCTAGACGGCCAATCCCCGGAGAGGGATTATCATTTTCTTGACAGGAAACCAAGGCAGAAGATGCAATTAGTCAAGGACAAGAAGCAATGGCAGAGCCAGCTGTGCTTCCACACACACACTAGCTGCTGGCTCCCGGAGCCCGCATGAGTTTTTACCACAGACACACACGCGTGCAGACACACACACGCGCCACAGTTATACTTCACTTTCATCTAACCCTTGGAAAATAATGGAACACAACAGTCAAAATAAACAGGTCTAACAGAAGAAAAGCAGTCATATATTTAAGAACTTGTCTCACAGAAAAGACTGTTATTCCAAAAGAAGATGAAAGCCAACAGAATCAATATGAAACAAGCTCCCTAACAATTCCAACTGTGAACTAATCAAACAGGCTGTTTCTCAAGATTAACGGTGCATAAGATTCCTTCACTGAGTAGAAGTGTGAACTAAATGACCTGCAAAACTCCTGAAAAATATATCTTCTTTGATATTAGTAATTCAGTTTCATCCATACATACTGGAAGGGCTTTTGAAAAAGAGCACTTACAACAGTCTTCCACTAAACACTAATTGCAACATCAACTGAACTGAACATCAAGGGATGACTAGCTTTAGTGAAGTTAAATACTTTGTTTGCTAGAAGACTTCAGAGGTCTTGATAAGTGAACGTGTCTTATGAATTTCCATCAGAAAAACACAGTATAAAACATCTTCCCTCAAACTTACTTAGCCATGAAATATTTTTTCCTGAACGTATCTTGAGACCAGTAGTAATTCAAGAAAACTCCAGTATTTCAAGGAACATGGCTTTAAAAAGAAAAAAAAAAAAAGATCTGTGCTGACCCCTACTGACTTCTAGCTCTTTGGGGATCAATCGCACACTGGTTCGGCAACTTTTTTCATTTAAAAATGATATACCTCACTTCACTTAATGAAATATACCTCTTTTTTTTTTTTGGTGAGTCATATATTCTATTATTTATCAATAACAGTACCTAACAAAAAGCTTTCAAGTATTTACTTTTTAACAATTATAATACTGCAACAAGCAGCCTTATAAGTATTTACTTTTTGCTTACTTGAGTGATTGATAAACACCTGTATGTACCTATCTGATAAATATGATATTGACTATGATGCCATCTACCAAGACAGCAAACATCAGAGAGGAACAGCTCTACAGGAGGGCAGTTGTCCTTGGATGTGTGAACCTGAGGTCCTTGTGAATCATCCCAAGCAGCTGGACACACAGGGCCTCAGCACAGAAGAGAAGGTGGCCCTACACAGCTGATCTCTGGGGTTTACCACCTGATCCTGGGAACCACAGTTCCTCAGGGGAATACGGCAGACAGACGGCCCAAACTGAGTCCTGAGTAACATTTAAAAACTGACAAGATGATGGAGAACCCATAGAGTTTGTAACTGCAAAGGTACAGCCAGACACAAAGAGAAGGAACCCAAGCCTGGAAGCCAAGAGAAGAAAAGGCAGCAGTTGCGTAAAACTGTGTGACCTTGTAAGTTCTTTCATCTCTCTTAACCCACCTCATGGGTTTGTGGTGAGGATTAAACAAGCCAACACTGTTTCAAAAATGCTAACTATTACTTTAGTAGAAATCTAACTGGAACAGGTGGGGAGGGACAGAAAAGACAGACGACCTTGAGCATGTGGGCTGTGAAGGAGTAAGAAGGCTGCAAAGGGCATGATTAGGGCATGATGCCAACCAGGCTCATGTGCCTCGTCCTCTTCCTGCCTCTGGCTGGGAAGAGGGTTCTCAATCAAGGGGCACTGTGGGAGTGCCACAGTCCAGCTGGGAAGGCTCAGCAGGGCCCCACCTGCAAATGACTAGAACAAAACACAGCTCAAGGAAACAAGGCTGAAGCCTGGGGTGGCCTGCAACCATCTCCAATAATAGGTTTCAGGAGTGGAGAGGAAGGTTCTGGGCTGTGCCAAAGTGTCCAATTAATTTCTGAACTCTGGTGGTTAGCAGATGACCACTGTAGGGATAGAAATGGCTAGTGCAGAGAGGAACTCCAGAGTCTTTCTCTGGGTCTACGGCTGTCAACCCGCATGAGGAGGAGGTGGACCCCTGCCTGCAGCCTGGAGGCCTGCAGGATGGCGGGGGACAGGAACAGCCACATCTGGAGAGGGCTTTAAGGGGTCTTGGTCTTTATGGAAGAGCAATGGGGTTGAAGCAGTGTGAGAAGCGGCTATGGAGGAGTTTCGCATTCATGGATGAGGACTCTAGAGAGGTCCAAGAACTGAGGTGGGTAAAGAAGTGAGGGGAGTGGAGTGGGGAGTCCCAATCCGAGGATGTAGCAGGCAGCTGAGGGCATTCGTTAGTGCAGATGACAGAAAGATGACCTGATGGCCTGTGTTAGTCGGTGACCACAGGGAGAGCCACTGAGGATTCAAACCTCCAGCTTCAGGAAGGAAGAGCTTCTGCTTTGCAAGGTTCAGCCATGGTCCCAAGACTGGACAGGGCCAAGCATTTCTTCATCACCTATCTAACCAATTACACCTTATGTATTTTCCTAATCTCACTCCTTTGATAATTCCTAAATATACAGTAGAGCAGAATATAACTTATTAAAACTTTAAGAATTTTAAGCTTTTACTTGCAGTGTGGCACATAAGATATGAAACCGACAGTAAAACAATTTAGACTTACAGAAACTCTTGTATATGAACGCCAGAAAATATGCAAACACATGCATTTGCTGCACTGTTTATAATAGCAAAACACAAACAAACCTGGAAACAACCCACATGTCCACCAACAGGAGAATTCACAACTAAGCAGTAGGACAGTCACACAACAGACCACACAAAATGAGCCAACTTCAGCTACACGCTTCAACACAAGTGAATTCCTGGAGTCTTGAGTGAAAAAAAAAGGTGACAAAGGAATATATACAGTATATCATTTTTATATCTAAGATTAATTTTAAAAGAGTACTTCTACGAAGGGAGAGGTTAGCTCTCCCCGACATGAATGGAAGGCACCACAGTGAACCACACACACTTATCTGCTTAAAACACTGGCTACTGTGGTTTCATTGTACATATGTTGAAAAATATATATACTAGCTAGGGATACATATTTTTGTGATTGAAATGATATGATGCCTGGGATTTACTTTAAAATTTTGCAGAGAAAAAAAAAAGCTGAGAGACAGGTACACTGCAGTTTCTACTTTCCATAATAAAAAGCTAACAAAAACCTCAGCAAACCTATATAGCATAAGTAAAAATAGAAAAGCAAAAGCATTTAGGGTGAGGGGCAGGCAATTAAAATATTGTGGGGTAACGATGGGTTTGGGAAGAAGTGCTCAGGGAGCTTCCACAGTACTGGAAATACTCTATTTCTTAGTGGGGAATGGGTTGGCGGGTGTTCACTGCAGTAGTAAGCTTGCTTCTTAACATGGAACATGCTATGTTCTCTTGTGATCTATTTGCTACATACATAAGAAAACAATTTAGCACGTTAAAGGATACTCTAAGCCACTCAGAACTGAGACTGGAAAGTTCAAGCTCAGAAATTCTTGAATTCCACAAGAAATTATTAAATTCCCTTTAAGTTTTAAATGAATGGAATGCCTGAAAAGAAAAGAGGCTAATACAGCCAACCTGAGTTTTAAGTGTACAGCCAATATTAGGTAAAACTGCCTAGGCAAGAAAACTGAAGCTTTAGGCTATATATTCATGTAACAAAAACCTCTGTTGAGGATTTTAATAATACATTTCTACAGTTTCAAGTTAATAATTTCAGGAGTAAGAAACCAGCAACAAGCCACCAGATCTGTTGTGGCACCTTCTACTTTGCTCAACCCTCGACGACAACTCCAAGCTGCTCCTCACTCTAGCTCTTCCTCCTCCTTCCGCTGGATCTTCCAAAAGCCACAGACTCACAAGTTCAACACAGAACTCCTCTCTCCCTGCCTTTCTTCCTGACTTAGTTGTCAGAAGCCTCAGCTGCCCAGCTTGGAATCCTAGGAGTTACGAAAGCACCACCCTCTCTACTAACTGCCCAAATATCTAATCCTATCTATTTTCCTCATGTTGCGTGCAATCTCACTTTTCCTCCCCATTCCCTCTACCAAGACTTTCAACTGAGGGTCATGCTTAGCCTCTGGACTGGTCTCTCTCCCTTCAAACTCACTCCCCCTTCTGCATTTCCCATCAGCTTTGATTCCTCTCTATTCTTACCCCTGATGAAAAATCAGTTCTATGAATTCTATCTCCTTCTTATCCTACTTCTCTTTACACTCCCAACTGCCGGAGTCTAGGCATTATTAACTCCCATCTGGCTCACTAACTAAAGGGTCTTCACTGGCCTCGTCCCCTCCAATCCATCCTCCATATTGTTGCCCCACAATTTCTAAAACACAAACAGGCACTCACTCTGTTAACTGAATGAACTGCAGGGACCTTCTTCTATACGCTGCGTTTTATTTACCCACACCCATGGCACCTCCAGAATGTCCACTGAGTACAACTGTTCCATGTCAGCTTATTAACTATATAAAGAAAGGAGTTAATATTTACTGTAGCTGCTACGCTAGACTCTGTACAACAGCTTTAATGCTTTCACTGATTTACTCCTCACAGTAAGTATATTCTCTGCATGTACAAGCTACGTTTCACAAATGAGGAAGCCCAGGCTCAGAGGTGTTACCCATGCTGCTTCCTTAGAAGGTAGGAGTTTCTCATTCCACCTCCTTAAGAAGTGTGCTACCAAGAGTTACTCCTGCATTTGACATTACAACCTGGCTTCAAAAGGAAGCATGCAAAAAGACAGGTGAAAGCTTCATGATATGAATACGTAATGACACGTCCAAACTGCTGCCAACGAATAGTTCAGGGAAGAACTAGCGAATTCATGAGCTTGCCTTTTATTTATATTTACATGTCCAAAGCTAGTTAAAGCTCTACTTTGTTGGATCTTCGCTGGTTACTATTTGAATGTTGTATTATTCTACAGTTTTTAATCAAGAAAATTCTTTAACTAAAGATGCCAGGACAGGGACCAGCATCTTGTAAATATAGACCAAGAACCTGTGCATTCAGTATTTGGACATCTACCAAGAAGGATTATCTAATTAGATAAGACTTCATAAGTTCGTTACTGAAATTCAAGGCTTGAAAAATTTGCACTTATTTATAAGATTTATGCTATCCCTTTCTATATAAAACTATGGAAACTCTCATTCAAACAATTAAAATTGACAAGCAGCATAAAAAAATTTCAACTAACACCCTAATAGATGGCTTCCTAGAGACAGTAGCTAAGTTATTTTATTTTTTTTTTTTGACGAAGTCTCGCTCTGTCACCAAGGCTGGAGTGCAGTGGCGCAATCTTGGCTCACTGCAAGCTCCGCCTCCCGGGTTCACGCCATTCTCCTGCCTCAGCCTCCCGAGTAGCTGGGACTATAGGTGCCCGCCACCGCGCCTGGCTAATTTTTTGTATTTTTAGTAGAGACGGGGTTTCACCATGTTAGCCAGGATGGTCTCGATCTCCTGAACTCGTGATCCGCCCGCCTCGGCCTCCCAAAGTGCTGGGATTACAGGTGTGAGCCACTGCGCCCGGCCAACAGTAGCTAAGTTTTCTCTCTACTTACTTAAAGCCATTCTAAACCTTTAAGTCCACTGGCTCTAAAGTCAGAGAAATAAAAATAAACACATACTCAAATTAAGAAATGGTTTCTGCTTCTCAAATAACGAATTCCAAGTCAAATTCTCAAGACTTGAATTTATCACATATGCTTGCATTGCCTGGTTCCTGTTGTTACCCAAAGCTAATAATTAAACATCTGCGGCATTAAAAACCATGTTCACTCAACATAAATCTGTCACATGCCCCATTATTCTACCAGATATCTACCCCCCAAAAACAAAAAAAATCATACATCCACCCAAAGACTTGTACATGAATGTTCACAGCACTTTATAATAGCCCCAAAGTGGAATAACACAAATGTCCACCAACAGGTGAATGGATAAGCAAAATGTGAGGCACTCACACAATAATGCCAAGTAGTCAGACTATTTGGCAATAAAAAAAAAATCAAGTACTGATGCAGCGTGGATGAACCTCAAAAATATTAACACTAAATGAATGCCAGATGCAAAACACCACGTATCATATGACTCCATTTATTACATGAAATGTCCAGAATAGGCAAATCTATAGAGACAAAGCAGGTTAGTAGCTGCCTGGGGTTGTGGGGATGGTGGGAATGGGGAGTGACGGCAAAGAGACACAAAGGATCTTTACAGGGTGATGGAAATGTTCTAAAATTGCATTGTAGTGATGGCCACACAACTCTAACTTTACTAAACATCACTGAATTATACATTTTAAATGAGTGACTTTTATAGCATGTGCATTAAATCTCAATAAAGTTGTTAAGAAAAAACAAAGAACAGACTTAAAGCATGCTAGCTGTAAATCTTATGGTTCAAATTCAGTTCATTCACAGAAAGGAATGCATCTCTCCAAGACAACCAGGTTCTGTGTACATATGGGTCTTGGTATCAGCGCTAAAAGCAGTATTACTGAGTATTCTACCAGAAAGTTAGCTTTAAGAAATGCTATGTAAGACATTACCAATAGAGAGGGGTTTATACTCCCCTGCAACAATATATAAACAGGTGAAAACACGAATGTCAAAGTTTTGCCTGCAGGTATTGGAAGAGATGTCATATGGCATGGATGATTTGCTGCCATATTAAACATACAGACAAAAATGGCAATACAAGTTAATAGGGGAAAGAAGTCGTTTCAGGCTACAAGATCAGGAAGCCTTTACAGAATGTGTGCTTTGAGCGTTTCTCAGAGGATGAGCAGGATTTGAACAGCAGTAGAGGTACAGGGAGGCTGATGTCCAAGGGAAGACAAGCATGAGGCAGAAAACTGATCACAGGAGCCCGGTGAAGGATTTGGGCAAGTCATGAGAGGTGGCGGCTGGGTCAGTGGGAAGAGGATGCAAGGTCTTTATTCTGTGAGGGTGACAGAGTTATGGAAGGTTTCGGAGAAGACAAGTGACACCGAGATAACGGCTCAACTTAGACCAACAGCAATGGAAAGAGAGAGGCCCAAGACACAGGCGACACAAAGCAGTTATCGTGGTAACTGGTCAGACCGGATGGGGTGACACAGGTAAGAAAGAATTCAGGATGACAAAGGCTCAAATTTATACTTTTGAACTTCCAACAATTTATTTCTGGATTCCAGAATTGTCAGACACTACTTTCAAAATTCAAAACAAGGCCGGGCATGGTAGCCTGTAATCCTAGCACTTTGGAAGGCTCAGGCAGGCAGATCACCTGAGGTCAGGAGTTCGCGACCAGCCTGGCCAACATGGTGAAACCCCATCTCTACTAAAAATATAAAAATTAGCCGGGCGTGGTGGCAGGTGGCTGTAATCCCAGCTACCCAGGAGGCTGAGGCAGAATTGCTGGAACCCTGGAGGTGGAGGCTGCAGTGAGCAGAGATCACCCCACTGCACTCCAGCCTGGGTGACAGAGCGAGATTCCATCTCAAAACAAAACAAAACAAAACAAAACAAAACAAAAATGAAAAACAAAATTCAAAACAACATAGCTATTGCTGAAGAAATGTTCCATGGTAAGAACAGGAATTTGCCAGATCTAATAACATGACAGATGCATTTACCCTTTGACCTAGCAATCCACTTCTAGGAATCTATTCCCAAAATGTGCAGCCAAAGCCACGAGAAGTGGTAAATTCAAGTTTTGTCACTGCAAAAGACTTGAAATCAGCCCCAAATCTATCAGTAGGGGACAGGAAGACTAAGTTAGGACAATAGAGCACTGCGCAATGATGAAAACTGTTAAGAAAAAAAGAAAGGACCTCCACATACTGATAAGAAAGTAAATTCTTAGCAGACACTTAACTGAAAACAGGCACCTTTTGTGTGTGATGGGAGTAAATACTAACACGTAAGTGTAGATACATTTTTCTTTTCAAGAAGAAAAATTGGGAGGCTAAACTGAACACTAATAAAATTGGTTACCCATGGCGGAAGGAGAAAACAGTGTGGGAGAAGGGTGGAAGTGAGACTACAGTGGGGTCCATGGGCGGATTTCAGGGGGCTTCTCAATGTAGATGGGACAAAAAATTACATCTTTATTTTCACTAACCTCTGATGGAAATTTGACAGTTCCTTTGATTATGAATGCAGGCAACAGATGCAGTACTTTTAGCAAAGTGTCTAACTTCGTCAGCAAGAAATCACAAAGATTTTCATTATTCCATGCTAGACATGCCAGTATCATTTATGCTCATCAACACCTTGAAATTATAGTAGTTACATATAAAGTCTATAACTACTAGATCTTAAATAGGAAGATGTCTGCATGTGTTAGCATGTGGAATTCTCAGGAATGGACATGTTTGCTACACTTTTGACATTTTTTATGATTAAAAAAAGCAAAAAGTTGTACTGTAAAATCTAGAAGAACATCTTGGAGCCATATGTGGCCTGCAGGATCTCAAGCAATTATAGCCTCTGTCTTAGGTAATTACCCGGCAACAATATAATTGTAAATAAATATGAACTCACAAGTACGAAATATCATGGCAGTTCTAGATTACAGGATGATCATCCAGACATATAAGTGTATTTATATGAAATTCTTTGTATCACTAAATTAAACACTCAGTTTAAAAATTCTCATACTAGCAAAACCCCAGGAGTAAAGGGAGTTAGAGAGGAACAACTCTATATAAGAAAGTGAGGATTAACAGAAATAGATAAGTTACGAGAAGAAGCCTGAAACTAGAAAGAAGATGAAGAGCTTAATTTTAGATAAGTTGAATGTGTTTTTTTTAAAGGTTGGCAGTTTAAAAATTGTAGCCCAAAGGAAATCACACCTGTAGAAATAAATTTAGTAACTGACAAAAAAGTAAAATTGTTGGCAACAGCGCAAACAAAAATCTTCAAAGTGTGAAGAAAGAACTTAATAGAGATGAGGACTAAAATTTTGTGCTTAAAGGACGTGGGCAAAGTAGTCCCTTGCCTCCCACCCCTCCCAAAAAGGAGAGAGAATGCTTGCAAGAGACAGAATATATAAGAGAACCAGGAGGACAGAAGGCAAGCCAAAGGAGGCTCATCCATGAAACTTTTAGTTCGACAGTGTTAAGGTTGAAGGTAAATCAAGGAAAAGGTCTATTATGAAAAGTCACTGACTGTGGTAAGTGCCAGGAGCCACGGCCTTCAAGAACATAGCTCTGAACGAGTAGAAAGCAATGAAACCTGGCTGCAGCCAAGTAGAAATGGAAACGACTCGCTCAACACGATGGTGAGAAGACAATGGTGGACTCTGTTGCTAGCAGAAATCACCAGATACCTGCCTCTCCCAACATTGCTGTCACAAGAGGATCCTCAGGACTGACTCAGAGAACGTGATGACTTATTACCCCATTCACCATGATACAATGATGGGTAGGAATGAGAAATGAATTTTCCTTTTAAATTCTAAAGCCAGTATACAAGCATAATTACAACAAACTTGCAAATGAACAGACATGACAAACATCATGTCTTCCAAAACCACATACCTTATTCAAAAATAAGATACAACTTGGGAGGCTGAGGCAGGAGGAGGGCTTGGGCCCATGAGTTCCAGGCTGCTGTGGACTGTGATCATGTGACCACATTCCATCCTGAGGGACAGGGCAAGACCCTCTCACACACAAAACAAACAAACAAACAAAAAACAAAGTACAACCAATGATACTTACTTACAGCAGAAGTCTCACAACAGAACTTCTGTGCATGTCTCTCAGCTGGAGGTATGCAACCCTGGATTCAAAGTCTGGTATAAAGACGACCATGTTCTGCCCAGGTGTGTTCATGCTTTCCACTGCCCTCTAAAATGAGTCCCTTTGGCAACCTCAACAAGATGACACCCACTCAGATCACCACGAGATGGCAATGAGAAAATACCACACCTATCACTACAGAGAAGACAGACAGACTCCAAACCAGCCAGCACTGCTATTCAGATTCTCTTAGAAGGGACATTGGTTCTTTCTATAAGGCCAATTCTAATTCTGTTCATTCATTTTTAAGTTTTCCTTAAAAAATCAAGCACCAAGGAGGGGGATGGGGAGATACTGGTCAAAGGTGCGAAGTCTCAGTTAGATAGGAGGAATAAGCTCAGGAGATCCAGCACCCAGCATGGTGACTCCAGTTAATAATAATGTACTGTATTTTGAAAACTGAAAATTGCTTAAAAGCAAAACAAAAGAGAAAAAACTGCTTATAGTACATCTTAAAAGTTCTTACCACAAAAAAATGTTAAGTATGTGAGGTGATGGATATAATTAACTTGATTTAATCATTTCATGATGTGCAGCGTACATATATCAAATCATCAGGTTGCATGCTATTATGTTTTGTCAATTATACCTTAATAAAGCTGGGAGTGGGAATTAAACACCAAAATACCGACTTCTCAGAATTGCTATAAAGAATAAATTAGTAGAGCCTCAAAGTTTTACTAAATGGATATAGCAGGCTTCTCGTTGTGATCAATCTTTGTCCTTCTAATTATATAAATATACACACATGCAGCCAGGCGTGGTGGCTCACGCCTGTAATCCCAGAACTTTGGGAGGCCGAGGCAGGTGGATCACCTGAGGTCAGGAGTTCAAGACCTGGCCAACATGGTGAAACCCCATCTCTACTAAAAATACAAAAATTTGCCTGGTGTGGTGGCACACACCTGTAGTCACAGCTACTTGGGAGGCTGAAGCAGGAGAATCACTTGAACCCAGAAGGTGGAGGTTGCAGTGAGCCGAGATTGCACCACTGCACTCTAGCCTAGGCGACAGAATGAGACTCCATCTCAAAAAATATATATATAATATAAAATACACACACATGCTAATTTAATTCATTCCTTCAAATACACACATTTTGTAATTACAAGAATTCTCACATATCATTACCCAGAAGTACAGAATTTTCTCCTATAAACATCTTAGGAATTAGAAAACAATTTTTTTTCTCTTAGAGTTGATACTTGAATAAGTAATAGAGGAAGGTCCTTTTAAATCCTAAAAAATCCACACACAAGCACTAAATGCCTTAAATATTGCTCAATTCAGAAATGAATCTTAATTAAGTCAACATCTATATTCTTCCTATTTTACTACATGACTTCCAAGTAAGATGCCACAAGCGTCACTGGTATAAATTGCTCCGGAAAACCTGAAAACTTACAGAAAATCACAATCACATTATATTTAACAGGTGTTATAAAGACTGCCCAGTTTGTCCAAATAAACTAGTTTTAACTGCTGAGGACTGAGTATCAGTTCTCAGTTTCAGCACAATGCTTTTACTCAATTACCTAGATTAAATCATGCTTACTCAATGGTCTAGATTGGTACTTGCGTGTATTTTGTTTCCAAGTACTTGCATTCACTTTAGGGCAAGAAAAAACGGTATTACATTTGATCATGATCATCTACACCACACATGCTTTTCAAACTGAGGGCTGCAATTCATTATTGTGTAGATCATGAAACCAACTTAGTAAAAGGGAACTGGAACTTTTTAAAAAATCAAATAAAGAAAAAGAGCTCATAGAATGTAACAAGGTTAAGTATTACTCAGTGCATTTTTTTTTCCCAGTTATGTCTGTGTGGGTGCTGGGTTATCCCACAAAAAATATTTTACTAAAGAAATAATTCAAGAGGCACTGATTGACAGTACACAGTGACAAATTGCAAACAGCTAATATGGAAATGCGTGGGATGTCTGTGAACTTCACAGTTCTGGCTCCACAAGTCACTGGCAGTGTGAGCTTGGTCAGATTCCTTAACTTCTGCGCCTGTATTTCATCATCTGTACTAGAGATAATACTGTAGTACCTGTTGTATAAGGTGGCTATGAGGAATAAGTGAGTTACGAAAATAAAATGCTTAGCAGAGTCCTTGACACACGGTAAGCATTTGCTACTATTCATGTTAACACTACTATAAAGGGTTTCTAATATCTATGCAATTCCTAAGATAGTATTTAAATGTTAAACCACCCATGCTTATTTTTGAAGTCAAAATGAAGTAAATTAACGTTACCTGAAAACTCCACAATACCTTTGATAACTGATGACACCAGAGGTGGCACTTCTCTAAAATTCCCACCAAAATGTAACTTTCAGCACAGGGTGGAGGAATCCTTTGTATCGGGACAGACCTGGGGATCCAGCCTAAGCTGTGACAGAGTTAAATTTTCCTTGAAATATCACTCTATCTTAAAATTCACATGAATCTTTCATTCTACCATGAAATACATGTTTAACAGAATACTTTAAAACACCAGCTCCACAGGACTTCCTAGCTCTCTTGCTAGTGAATGAATGGGATGCTGTTGTATGAAACCCACTGACTTTGGAAAAGCCGCTACTGGAGAGCTTTCACTGCACATCAGCATCCAAAAAGTTTCTCTTCTGTCTTGGCACCACTGTATTTTCAGAACCCAGCTTAACACAAATACAAAGATACAAACAGCAAGCCATTCTGCCCTCCTTTTAGAGGGCCTGTGGAAGTGGTGCCCCAGGGAAACATCCTCAGGCCACTAAGCGTGGAAGGCCAGATGTGCACCTCCTGGCAGGTCTCTCCCTCTCCCAGTGAGGTGTGCACGTGAGGTCCACTTCCGTAAAGGATGCCCTTAGTCAACCACAAACGCTATTAACTCCCATTTAGATGAACAATCTCAATTCACAGTTCCCACAATCCTCTTCAACTAATTTCCAAATTTCCCTCATGTGTGGTGAACCGTTTGCCCTGCAGTTGATTGTGGGGCCTTGAATAAGTATCTGCTCAATAAGCAGATTTTGGAAGCTAGTGTATCACTAAGTGAACATGAATCTATTCATCAATAAGACACCCCTTTCTATTATTTTTCTTTCGACTAAGATAATTTAACCCTGAGTCGAAAACTCTGATCAGTAATTTTCCCTAGCTGAGCAAACTTTCAAATACACTTCCCGTTTCACTACAAACTGGTTCAAAAGGAGAAACGGCGCTACCGTGCTCTTTATTTGATTTAGGGCTTTTATGTTTTTTGTTTTAAAGACAATTTACCACTTTAACCGCTCTCCTGAAGGAACTGGGCACAGTTAAGCGACACCTCTTTCTGGTAAGATGCTCCTGACACATGTCCCCCGTGGTCCCTGAACCACTCAAGGCTCACAGTGAGTGATGTCACCCACCGCACCTGTGGTTCCACCTGTCAGATTTGCACCCCCATTCTCTGCACATATGTTCAATGCTGCATTTGCTAAAAAGCATCTTGCTGAAAATTTCCTTACTAGCTATTACAACATCAAGTACTAAGAACTTTTTAGTATTTTCCGAAATTATGGACACTGGGGAGAGAGTATGAGGAGAAACATATATGCACAGAAGTGTACATTTAAATCAGTCAAGAATAAATAATTTGGAAAAACAGTTTCTCAATGATTTGAGTATGTCTTCTGAGCTCACAAAAATCTGTAACTCGATGACAACATTCAATAAGAAGCAGGGTTCTTTTGGGAAGGGGACTTTTTAAATTTTGCTTCCCACTCTGTCTCAAAACAATCTGGCCATACCTATAATAAAGGAGAAAATGTGGGCTGGGCACGATGGCTCCTGCCTGTAATCTCAGTACTTTGGGAGGCCGAGGCGGGCAGATCACCTGAGGTCAGGAGTTCGAGACCAGCCTGACCAACATGGTGAAACCCGTCCCTACTAAAAACACACAAAAAAAATTAGCCGGGCATGGTGGTGGGCGCCTTTAATCCTAGCTACTTGGGAGGCTGACGCAGGAGAATTGCTTGAAAACCAACCAGAAGGCGGGGGTTGCAGTGAGCTGAGATCGTGCCATTGCACTCCAGCCTAGGAGACAACAGCGAAACCCCAACCAAAAAAAAAAAAGGAGAAAATGTGGTAAAACCTGTAGCATCAGCTTCACTTATGATTCCGAAACAGCAGTAAGCCTCTAGACATTTACATTTGCTCGTATTTTTTCTGAGACGGAGTCTCGCTCTGTCCGCCCAGGCTGGAATGTAGTGGCGTGATCTCGGCTCGCCACAACCTCCGCCTCCCGGGTTCAAGCGATTCTCCTGCCTCAGCCTCCTGAGTAGCTGGGATTACAGGCATGCACCACCATGCCTGGCTAATTTTGTATTTTTAGTAGAGACGGGGTTTCTACATGTTGGTCAGGCTGGTCTCGAACTCCTGACCTCAGGTGATCCGCTCGCCTTGGCCTCCCAAAGTGCTGGGATTACAGGCGTACCGCGCCCGGCCCACTGGTATTTTTTATAGTAATGCCCCTAGTCAAGATGCACCTTTCTTTGTAGTTACAAAATTTTCTAGTCAATTTCCCTCATGGTCTGTACAATTTGTATTTATTTGTCACCCTAAGAGTGGTGGGTTTTGGAGGTTATTGCTAAGGGGCAGAGACACAAAAGCATCAACAATAACTTAAACCCATATTTTACTTATTTATTTTTGACACAGGGTTTCACTCTGTCACTCAGGCTGGAGTGAAATGGTGCCACCTCGGCTCACTGCAACATCTCCCTCCCTCTAGGGCTCAAGCGATCCCCCCACCTCAGCCTCCCAAGTAGCTGGGACCACAGGTGTGGGCCACCACACCTGGCTAATCTTTTCATTTTTTGTACAGATGGGGTTTCACTACGTTGCCCAGGCTGGTCTCGAACTCGTAAGCTCAAGCAATCCGGCCACCTCGGCCTTCTAAGTATTCAAATTACAGACGTGAGCCACCACGCCTGGCAAAACCCATACCTTAAGCAGGCATAAAGAATATCCTGCATGTTAAGATTGCTACTGATTTCTGTCACCACCCTAGCTGTGGCTGGGACAATACCATAGTCTTCACTGCCCAGCCTAAGTTTCATGTGGAAAGTCTCAACAATAGTCGGTCCATATTTTTTATTTCATACAATTTACATTAACTTGTGTATTTTCTCAAGCAAGCTTTTTAAGCTTATACTTCAAGTAGCTTACTTTGAAAAACATAAATGCATGTTCCCAGTTGAAAACATAGTTAATATTTTTAACAAGGTAAAGAACTAATGCTAACATCACAAAATCCAGATTTTTCCCCATAGTTTTGTTATCGTCAAGAACTCATATATAATAAACTTACTTTAGAGGACTTGAATCTCACAAACTTCATTCAATTTTCTAAAATAAAATGTACACATCAAAACTGCAAATAAATAAACTTCTGAAAAATATAAATACAATGGAATAAAGAGATGCACACTTTAGGACTATTTTTCTTTTTGCCAAATCACACACACAAAGCCCAGAGTATGTATGCGCATATACGCAGTTTGGCCTGTACTCAATTGTCAGTAAAACAAATCCTCCTCTGCATTTTTGGCGGGGAAAGTACTCTTTTTAATGTGAAACTGTAGTTTCATTCACTGCCGCCAAGAGAGGCGTCAGAATGCTTTTTAGAATCACTTTTCCTATAACTATTAAGGGAATCACTATCCTAGTTACACATACACGCTCACCTATGTTTACCATAAAAAGCTATGTGGATACTCATCTTCCACAATATCCATATTTTTGAAACAAAACTTTAGTGTAATATATGGTTTGCTGGTTATAATCAGTGAATTATTTAATCAGTTTTCCACAAGTTAGCCTTATCAATAGAAAAATTCCAACATTTATAATTTATTATGGCAAAACCTCAAAGTTAACACAACTTCCGCAAATTGGTTGCTTTGTTGAAATTTTGCTAAATGTTGTTACTAGAAATCACATTCCCAGTTTGAAGAGCTGAGATAGAGACAAATACCCAGAACCAACATCCAGCTACTTTCAAGTGAAAATTGCAGCAGAGCCAGTTTTTTTAAAAAGCATGTTAGCATGATACACACAGCTAGATTTTCAGGATTTTTTTAAGCTTATGAAGATGAGATAGGATGGTTGTGGCAAAGGGCTGCAAAGACAAAGAGCAGAGCCCACTCTATCAAATGCTAGCAGCCCAATACCTGCCCTGGAGAGCCTCTGTAATCAAGGAAGCCAGGCAAGTCCTGAATGAAGCAGCAATCAGCAGCGCACTGCATCGCCAGGCGTGAGGGCAGAATGAAGCTGGTGACAGCGGGGCCAAAGAGGAAGGTATAAACACATAGTGTTATGGGGGAGGAACTAGTAAGATTTGGTAGATCACTGAATATGGACAAACAAAAGAAGTCAAGTCTGAAATCTGTGTCTCTGACACAACGCTAGAAATAGAGATGTCGGATATGGTCTAGGGAGCAAAAAAGAGATCAGTTTGGGGCAAGCCAAGTTGGAAGAAAGGCCAGGTTAGTCAAATGCAAAAGCCCTGAAGGCTATTAGCAGGACTGCAAGGCTCTCAGCTGAAGTTGCTGAGAATTGCTTAACCTGAAAAAACTGAGAAACCACAAAGCAAAAAAGACTAGAAGAGAGGATCAAGTTAAAGCTATCTCCTGAATGCTCATGAAGAGTTAGAAAAGATAAGATGAACTGGAACAGCAAGTATTCTGCACAGAACCCTAACCTCAGGAGGTCACCCAAGAAAAAAGAAAGGTAACCTGGTCCACAAGTCTGGGAAATGAGCGATGTGGCCCCTACTCAGAAGGGGACACTGGAGAACAGACCTGGTGATGCTTCCTAAACTCCTCTAACGCAAGACATCCTGAGAACAGCGTTCACCCTCTGGAAACCATGAATTGGAAATGCAAGAGAACCAATCTAATGAATCAAGTACAAATCTAAGAGTGCCTTCAAGAGAAGTATTGAGATGCTTTTAAAACCCAGGAAGTTTTAGATTTTTAAAGAAAAAATGTGAAACAACTTTGTAGTTAAACCATTATTTTACAGGTTTAAAAAGTGTTCTCCATGGACACCGGGAAGGGCACAACACTCACTGGGGCCTGTCAGGGAAGGTGTGGGGACCAACACCAGGGAAAACAGCTAATGTATGCAGGGCTTAATACCTAGGTGATGGGTTGATCGGTGCAGCAAACCACCATGGCACACGTTTACCTATGTAACGAACCTGTGGTACCCTGAAACTTAAAAAAAAAATTATTATTTAAAAAAATAAAAAGTGATCTCAACATGACACCACCAATAACATGTAAATGACACAGGCTTTGATTGTGTTGTCTCCCATATGCTTTAAAATTTTTTTAATATAATTCCTCTGATAGTATTTAGGATTTAAACAAGGACTAGGGTGAAGCAAAAATTATTTCTAGACACTAAACTTATAACCATACTCATTAGGATCCTGGCCTCTATGGCACTTCCCACACTGTGCTACAAAGAACCACGAATATTTCCAGGTGCTCGTTCCAAGAGAAAAAAATGAACACATCAATTCACTCCATATCAAATCTCTACTGTAAAGACCTAATTTTCCACATTCGATGATTTTAAAATCAGTATGTGTTCTACAAAACATGTTAATATGGTAGGGGAGTTTTCTTCCTTCAAAGGTAATTTCTTATTAAATTAGGAGTGGACCTTTTAATATATATGAATGTAGGTATGTATACATATATACATACCCTATAAGATATATCTCCCTGTAACAGCAGCAAAACAAATTAAGATTTTAAAGGCCCTTCAATATGCCACCTGGCATTTCCTACGTTTATTCACAGATCTTCCCTCCTATTCCCATACCTTACATATCACAGAACACAGACAGCCAAATATTGGCCTAAATAAAAATCCTGAAAATGCAGTAAAACAAGTAGAGTAGTAAGGCAGAGCTCCATTATAAAAATACCAGTGACCAAAACAAACAAAATCTTCATAATGTCGAGAGAACACATACAGTACGTTTCACCTGTAAAGCCCCAGCTAAACTGCAGACATTAAACACCCACCCCGCCCCCCGCCGCCCCCACCCCCAACACACATACCCTGTATAGGGCAAAGTCCCCTATATATAGAACATGTAACAAAGGCACTACTGAAGAGCCAATTTCAGTATGTGTCTTCAGCATTCCTAACCCTTCTTCCCTTTGTGTGTTTTGAGTCCCTTGTTGGTAGGACCTACTCTACACAGATGCCCAAGTAGCCTTTCATCAACACATCAAATAGGAGACCCTCTCATTTCAGTAGTCTCTACTTTATGATTGATGTAATATATTCCCATGCTGTGTGTCAAAGTCCATCCTCAACCAGGACTGCATTAGACAGCCTTCTGTCCCATTTGAGGTATCTCCAAGCAGCAGAAAGCTGAGGGCAAGCAGCTAGGGAGTCACAAAGCAAGCTCGGCACAGTCTTTGGCTCATACCAAGCACTGAACACAAATTGAGTATCCTTTATCTGAAATGCTTGGGTCCAGAAGTCTTTTGAATTTCAGACTGTTTCATATTTTGGAATATTTGAGGTATCTTGCGGATGGGATCCAAATCTAAACGGGGAATTCACATGTTTCATATAGACCTTATACACACAGCCTGAAGGTAATTTTACTTTCCCCTTGGGGACACTGAATAAACTGTTGTGCACCTGCATGTTGACCGTGGCCCATCACATGAGGTCGGGGTGAAATGATCCACTTGTCACATCGTGTTGGTAACTAAGGAAGTTTTAGATTCTGGAGGATTTAGGATTTTCAAATTAGGGATGCTCAACCTAGACTAAGGGTTATTATTGCATGTAAGATAAAATGGCAAGCAAACGTTTTAAAGATTTTACGTATTTAAAATGAGAGAAGTCAGAAGAATCAGTCTGGAATTTTTCTTCTCCACCATCCCCCACACCAAAGTCTCCAAGTTCCTATAGATAAGCTTGAAGTTTGGGGAGGGGGAAATGGCCTAGTCTTCATGTCTATTCCCTGAATTCCACTTGGGATCAAAGAGTCTGGTTTATTGACATCATCTAGGATTCCAAACCTTTCCTTCCAGTCTCACCAAAGCCTCCTTCCTGCCTTGAGAAAAGGAGGTCTGAGCTGTCAGCCTTTTTCCCCCGTTCTGACTTTCGGATGCCTATTAGGCACACGTAACTATTTTAGTTAGCATTTAATTAATTTCGACATAGCAAAGGTGCCCCCTCCCAGCATTAGGTGACACGTTTCTGTGCAACGGTTTTCTCATAATTACAACAGTATTCCTCATTTGTACTATTTAGCATACACTTCTTAAATAATTGATGGTAGCCTCTGAATTTTCCAAGCTACTGCAGAAACTAGACCAAAATACTTTTTCTAATTTTTAGCAAATTCTTATCTTAAGCATAATGACATTAAGTTTAAAGATTAATTTAAAACACATCTACTATCACTAGGAGTTGTGAACTAAGCAAAAAAAGTTCACACTATTACTAAAAAAAAGAAACTTCCACACTGAAGACAATTCATTAGTACCTAATCTAGTGTTACAATAAACCATCAAAACATCAATCAGTTTCATGAGATTAGGACAGTTTCATGGAGGGCATTAAATGAGGGGACTAAAGTATCTGAAGGATTAAGATATGGGGAAATAAATGAGAAGAAGATTAGTCCAGCAAAGGAGAACCTGACCGCTGGAAATACAGCCCAACGGAAGTCAGATATTTAACCCTGTGCATCAACACACCTGGAAAGGGGCTGCCAGTACGGCAAACACTAAGTGATTTCAGCATTAAACTAAGCAGAAATGTCTTCCTTGCAAGTAGCTCCCCTGCTTCTCCTGTTTTGGGATTTCTTGATTTTATAAATTAATCCACTGTACTATAAATATATGTGCACTGTAGAAAGTTGGAGGAAAAAAAAAATAATAACCTACTGCTAAGAGAAACTAAAAATAACTCCACTGCTCAGAGACAATCAATGCTAACATTCTGGTTTTCATCTTTTTAAAAAATGCATATACTCACACACCAAAATAAAGTTTAGCTATTACTTACATATGTTGTTTTATGTTGCATTTTATCATTAATACTAACTAAATGTTCATTAAATACAGTATTATGGAAGTTAAAGATTGATCTAAATGCTGAAATAATCATCCTTAACAACAGCAAAAAAACGAAAACAAATGCTTAAGAGGGTATTAGTTAAATAACAGCACACCCTGGACAGAATATTAATCTAGTAGTCATTTTTTTTGTATTTTCTTAGACTAAATTCTTAGAAATGGAATAGCTATTTCAAAGCACATACATATTTTACAAGCTTTTGTTACGTACTTTGCTCTCAAAAAATCATATTAAATTACACTCTTTCTAGCAAGGTATGAGTGAGCTCATTTCTCCATACCTTCACCATAAGTAGTTCATTTTTTAATCTACGCCAATTAAAAAAACAACAACAGTATCTCACTGATTTGCATTTCTGGGAGTACTGCTAGTAAAGCTGAAAGTTTTTTCATGTTTCCTGCTCCTCTTTTTATAAATTACCAGTTTGCCCATTTTTTTCCACGGGGGTGGGGGGGGGCCGCTTTTGTTGGTGGTGTTCACATGCCCTCTTTTTACAGTAAGGAAAGTAAATTTGCTTGTAAGTTACAATATTTTTCTGTTTGCCAGTCACCTTTTAATTCTGTTTATGGAATTTTAACACAGAGAAGTTTTATTATTCTAAAGTACTCAAATCTTTTCCTTTACAGTTCCCGTGCTTGGTGTTATATCTAGGTCTTCTCCATCTTGAGATCGCCATGCTGTTACTTTTTGGTTCTTAAATTTTTTCTTGAAAAAATATTTTAAAAGCACCCAAGCTTACCCCCCTAAAATGACAGCCATTTTTACTACTTTAAATATCCTCACGGCCGGGCGCAGTGGCTCACGCCTGTAATCCCAGCACTTTGGCAGGCTAAGGCAGGTGAATCACGAGGTCAGGAGTTTGAGACCAGCCTGGCCAACATGGTGAAACCCCGTCCCTACTAAAAATACAAAAAATTAGCTGGGTGTAGTGGCAGGCACCGTAATCCCAGCTACTCGGGAGGCTGAGGCAGGAGAAGCGCTTGAACCCAGGAGGCGGAGGTTGCAGTGAGCCGAGATCACGCCACTGCACTCCAGTGGGGGCGACAGAGTGAGACTCTGTCTCAAAAAAAACAAAAAACAAAAAACAAAAAAACCTTCACTAGTACATACACACTTTATACATATTTTAAATGGCTGCACCCATTTCATACAATCTATTTTCCGAAGTATTTTCTAACACAGACCTTTAAAAAAATTGCAGCTTGTTATATTTGAACAGTCTTGAATGGTTTTATAAATTTTTGCAAGGCCAATGAGTCATAACATCACACCCAATTTAACAATAGCCCCAAAGTTCCAGAACTGTTCGTGTCTATGCTATCAGTGCCCAATTACTCTCCCACAATGTTACTAAAAGACCAGGAAGAATAAGCTCATTCTTGGTAGTGGATCACAGTTCTGCATAATGAATTCTGCCATAATGATCAGATATCAGTCCTTAAAGCATTTTCATTTTAATCTCTTCTAGTCTTCTTCCATCTTCACATAAACTAGTCAAACACTCAGGGAACATCTGGTTAAAAGCCTGAGCTCCGGAGTTATCCTGTCCCGTTTAACTCGGGCTTGACTACCTTCCTAGCCCTTACCTGCACCACTCAAAGTCTCAGCTCCTTCACCTATATTCTGTAAAGTGGGTTAAACCATAGTACCCACACTTCAGAGGGCACTGTAAAGATTTCCAGTGGAAGGATGTATGTGAATGTTGATGCATGCAGTATGCTAGGCACTGGGGACAGATGCATATCACAGTGTCCCTGTCCCAAAGGAGGTCAGTTTGGTGGGAGAAACCACCAACTACAATCAAAAGGTTAAATACTGTGATAGTGACATAGGCAGGACAACATGGGAACCCAGAGAAGGCTCCTAACCCAGACCAGGACATCAGGGCCAGCTTTCCAGAGATGGTGATGTGTGAGCCGTCAGGTGATAGAAAAGGCAAAGAGTCAGATCCAGAATGGAACTGCAATAGCGCTGAAGCATGGAGTCAACACTAGGAAAGGCAGACCAGTGCTTACTTGGTCCAAGTTTCCCAAGGGAAAAAATTTAACTATCAAACTTAGGCTTCACAACCCTGCTTTTTAAACATGAATACAATACTTAATGTTCTTTAAGACCGTTTTTCCAAAATCCTGTTAATGTTAAAAGCTGTGGCATTCCCATGGAATCCACATACTTTCGGGGCCTAAGGAAATCAACAGTGTCAATTAAAAACCATCTCATTTTAAAAACGAGGAAATATATGCCCTGCAAAGGTAAGCTTGAACTAGACTCCATGTCTTCTCTCCCAAGCAAGATGTTCTATACCTAAGCAAAAATAAATGACTTCAATCTCTCTCCCTCACGGAATTTTTAGAAATGAAACACCTCCATGAGTGAATAAAAAACTTAAGTCATTAAATGTTATAATAATTCTGTTTATAGTGTGTTTACTAAATCTTCATATTATAAACAGGAAACCTCCTATAAACAGGAAATTATGTCCTCAGTAGTAAACATAAGGCTTTTATCCAAATAGGATCTATTTTTCATTTAATGCTCATTTCTTCATTTGGAAGCAAAACAAACACACTGATAAACTACCAAATGTTTTTAAAAAGCAAGGCAACCTTAGAATTGGCCCTTAAAATGGTTAACACTCTTTTCTCCAGACATACCTAAAAGACAAGTTCAAAATGAAGCTGACAGTCCCCCAAAGACATTTTATTCCAGAATGACTCAAGGTCACTGGCTTTAGGACCTACGGAAGGCTGAAACAGCAAAACAAACAAAAAACCAAGTTCCTAAGTTTTTAAGGCCCTAATATTTTTAATTTGAAGAATGGCAAGTAACAACTCCTCAATTTAAAGTACATTCATTTTAATTTTCCATGCTGAAAGACAGACACCACTGGGTATACTGGGAATGACATTCTGATGAATGGCCCTCAGAGACCAAGGGATGGTTCCTCCTACAGCAACTTCCTATCCCACTCCAGCAGAACCATGGGGCTTGCCTCATCTACAAGGAGGAGCCTTAACTACCAAACTGCTTCATTGCAAAGGCAAGGCTGGATACTCAACCTGGGGGGAAAAACCTGATCGTGTTTCCAAAAAAACACCAAACACAAAAAGTAAAAACATCCACACCTTAAAACTAGTTTTAAGGGGGAAAAAAGTTAAAGTTTCACAACCTGTTTTCTTGGCACTTTCCCAGACTTCCATAGGTATAGAAAACCTGGGCATTTTTCTGTTAGGGCCCTGTACTAGATACTGGGGTGTTTCAGGGAGAAGGGAAGTGAAGAGGGAAGGGGGAATAGAAAAGGAGGGATGAGAGAGACGATCAATTTTACTCGAGAAGTGTATAATAAAGCTTGAATTCTTAACCGGCTTAAGCACAACGACTGTGTTTTCTGTAGCCAAAAATCAGCGCATGTTTTCAAACGTTAAGTTTAAGTTAGAATTATTCCAGAAAACTCATTCATTAAAAAAAAGCAACTGAGGCACCACCACAACCAAGTTCTGTTACTCTGGGGACGCAAAAACAAATAAGGAATATCTCCTGCGCTGGAGGAATTCACAATCGGAAATGTATGGGAAATAAGGCTGTCATGTAGTTAATTACAGCTAGAAGATAATATTCAGTAAGTGGCAAGAGTCTAATGAACTGTAATATCTAAGGAAACCATGCAGAATCAGCTCAGGCATGCGTGTCTGTCTTCTGATGTGGTACACACATTAGGAGTGGGGGGTGGGGCTGGCTATAAGGACCTGAGCATGTGGCTCTCAGGGAGGGAGGCTTTTATAAATTGGTGAAAAACCCTAGCATATCTA